>NC_000001.11:245275030-245426545 GCF_000001405.40 Homo sapiens
ATGGTATCTCATTGTAGTTTTGGTTTGCATTTCTCTAATGACCTGACCAGTGATGATGAGCTTTTTTTCATATGTTTGTTGGCCACATAAATGTCTTCTTTTGAGAAGTGTCTGTTTATATCCTTTGCCCACTTTTTGATGGAGTTGTTTTTTTCTTCTTGTAAATTTGTTTAAATTCATTGTAGATTCTGGATATTAGTCCTTTGTCAGATAGATACAGTGCAAAAATTGTCTCCCATTCTGTAGGTTGCCTTTTCACTCTGATGATAGTTTCTTTTGCTGTGCAGAAGCTCTTTAGTTTAATTCGATCCCATTTGTCAATTTTGGCTTTTGATGCCATTGCTTTGGTGTTTTAGTCATGAAGTCCTTGCCCATGCCTAGGTCCTGAATGGTATTGCCTAGGTTTTCTTCTAGGGATTTTATGGTTTTAGGTCTTACGTTTAAGTCTTTAATCCATCTTGAGATAATTTTTGTATAAGATGTAAGGAAGGGGTCCAGTTTCAATTTTCTGCATCTGGCTAGCCAGTTTTCCCAACACCATTTATTAAATAGGGAATCCTTTCCCCATTGCTTGTTTTTGTCAGGTTTCTCAAAAGATCAGATGGTTGTATACTTTTGTCTTTTAATCTGTATACCAGAATTAAAAGTGATTTAAACACTACTGTTACAGTATTATAGTATTCTGTATTTGTCTATATGTTTACCTTTGGTAGTGAACTTTATACTTTTATATGCTTTCATTTTCCTATCTAGCATCCTTTCATTTCATCTTGAAAGACTCCCTTTAGTAATTCTTGTAAAGTCAGTCTAGTAGCAAGGAACTCCTCTGCTTTTGGTTATTTGGGAAAGTCTTTATTCTTGGAAAGTATCCTTCGTTGACAGGTTTTTATTCTTTCAGCACTTTGAATGTATTGTCTCACTTGCTTCTTGCATGCAAGGTTTATGCTGTGAAGTCCACTGATAGCCTTTTAGGGGTTCTATTGTATGGGAAAATTTGCTTCTCTTTTGTTGCTTTAAAAATTCTCCCTGGGCCAAGCACGGTGGCTCATGCCTGTAATCCCAGCACTCTGGGAGGCTGAGGTGGGTGGATCACCTGAGGTCAGGAGTTCAAGGCCAGCCTGGCCAACATGGGAAAACCTCGACTCTATTAAAAAATTAGCCAGGTGTGGTAGCAGGTGTCTGTAATCCCAACTACTCAGGAGGCTGAGGCAGGAGAATCACTTGAACTCGAGAGGCAGAGGTTGCAGTGAGTTGAGATTGCACCCCTGCACTCCAGCCTGGGCAACAGAGACTTCCATCTTAAAAAAAAAAAATTCTCCCTGAAAAGCTAGAACTTTGAATACATGCTCCAACTCTTTTCCTCCCCAGGGAGAAGTAAGGAGTTAGGGGTTTTCTCCTGTTTATTTTGTGCTGAGCTAGAGGGCATGGACTATGACAAATAAGTACATGCTGATCTAAACCATTTCCTTTATTCTCAGCATCCCTTGACCTGGCGCCCTTTCCTATTCTAAACCATCCCTTGGGCAGTCCCCTTGAAAAGCCTGGACATTGGACTATGATCCAGTCTACTCTTCCCCGCTCCCGGGAGAAGCGAGGAGCTGGCAGTTTCCTCTTGCTTACACTGTGCTGACCTGGGGGAGGGACTATGGTGAATGGATGCCATGAATTTCCCTGCCAGCTTTGATCATCTGGTTTTGCAGCAGCCTGAGATGCAGGAGCCTCTTAACTGGTTTCCGTATTTCTCACAAAGGGAAGTAGTCTATGTATTTTTGTTGAATTGCTGTCTCTGTAGGGACAAAGAGGGTCTTGCAGTTCCTATTTTGCCATGTTGCCGAAGTCACTTCCTGGAATGAAGGTCTTTACAGATGTAATTAAGGTAAGGATCTTGAGATGAGATCTTCTTAGATTAGGGTGGAACCTGATTTCAATGATAAGTGTCATGAGAGACAGAAATGGAGGAGACACAAACACAGAGGAGAAGGCCATGCAAAGGTAGAGGCAGAGACTGGAATACTATGTTTATAGGCCAAGGAATGCCAAAGATTGTTGGCCACCAGCAGACACTAGGAGAGAGGTGTGGAATGGATCCTCTCTTAGGCTCTCCAGAAGGAACTCACTTTGCTGACACCTTTGATTTTGGACTTTTGGCCTCTAGAAGTATGAGAGAATGAATTTCTGTTACTCTAAGCCAGCAGGCTTGTGGTAATTTGTTACAGCAGCCCCAGGGACATGGGAAGTGAGTTTGGGAGTTTTACTACAAAAATCTAGGAGGAGGATTTTAGACCTTTATTGGTCAATAGCCTTATCTATGTCTTCACTCTCTGTGAGCCCACCTGTATCTACGGCTGTTATCCACATAGGTGTTTTGACTAGGGATTTCTGTTCAGTGAGGTCCAAACTGCCTTCCTCAGTGCCCTGGGGCTTCCTGAAGGTGCTCTTGGTGCCCCCTGCAGGTGCCCTGTGGGCTGCTTTGTGGGGAGTGTGCGAGGTGAAGGCTGAGCCTGTGTGGCTCCAGACCCCTGGCCTCATTAACCAAAACAAGTTTTAGATAAGTTATTTTTAGGGGGATTAATATAGGATTTTGTTTGAAAACAAACAAACAAAAACCACTTAAAAAAAAAGTAAAAGAAACGTCCTAAAAGCTACAGGTTGCATTCTTGCCTTCTTTCTCTTCTAACGTGATTCTTTGTGCAGCCATTTTCTGCCAATGCTCTTCTTGGGTGCAGCAGTGTCTGCAGTCATGGTGACTGGGAAGTGGGAAGGGGGCTTGGAGTAGAACTGCAGGGAGGATGGGGGTTGGAAGAACCCCTGGTGCATCAGGTAAAACCACAAGGAGGTATGCTGCCCTCATTCTTATCCCTGAATATCTATTGTAGCTTCTTGTCCCCTTTCATGGTCAACATCTTGCAAATAATTTCGTCATAGGCTGGTATCTCAATTTCACTGACGGCTCATGGCAAAGCATGGAGGGAAAAAATTAGGAAGGGGTGGGGTGAAGTTATTAAATACTGGGAGTGAGTAAAAGTGGGCAGGCAGGAAAATTATTCTAAAAGGGTTAGGGGAAAGGGAGGTGGCATAATAACAAAAGGAAGAACTGTACCTGCATTAGAGTGCTATAATTTTCCCCAAGTATTGCCATAGAAATCGCACTTCAGACTCTACACCATGCATCAATTTGAGGAGAACAATTTACCTGTATTGTTTCCCATGTGTCATCAGCGTCCTCTTTCTCCTGTTTCAGTCAGCAGGACTCATTTCATCCATTTTCATCTGGTACTGTTGACTATTCATTTCTTTGCACTGATTTTGCTGCCAAAGTCCCCTTTTCAAGTCATGGACATTATTAAGTATACCCTTTATTTTACATCACTTGCCATTTTCAGAACTCCTTTATTTCATTACTTTGCATTCAGAATTTCCGGCCTAAATCGATAGCCTTGACATAAAGGCAGGTCTCTGCTTTCTCTTTTGGGCATGAACAGTTCCTTTCCTGAATCAGAAATTTATTTTTCTTTCTAGAAGTCTAGTGTGGGGAATAGTCAGCATGCTTACTAAGTCTTAATTTGTTAGAAGGAAAGATGAAGATAAATATTGGTGATGGGGGTTCCCTAGAAAATAAATTCTACCTACTCCTACCCTCACACGTTTACACTCTGCTTTTGATGCATCTCTTGTATTCTGCTTTTCCTCTCTAAAGAAGGGAAACTTCTTCCTGGGACCAGTACATTGGGCTCATTAGTTCCAGCCCCAGCTCTGCCACACGCTTGCTGTTTAGCTTTTAGAAAGTTAGCTCATCTTTCTGTTTTCTGGCCTATGAAATGGAGACTCACTGATCTCTTGGATGGATGAAGTACCAAGTAACCACTATGGGACTTGCCCCCATGCAGGAGTAATGAATGAATCAATTTCAAAACAGCTGGACACTAAGCCCACAGCCCAGGCTCTCCTCAGATTCATTCTATTTACAGCCCAGCTTTCACACAACGTGTCTGATAGCCAGTTCCTTACGAAGCCTCTGTCATGCTTACGGAGCACGTGACCCTCTTGAAGGAGATGGGGAAGGATCATGGAATGTTAACCACTGTTCCCATGCATGGAACTGTGCTAAGAAATGTGCTCCCAGGTAGTTTTGGAGCCATATGTGTCTGAAAAGAACTCATAATTAGCTGAAGTCAAGGGAAGGGGTCTTCTTATCACTCCTTCTGTATTGTTTTAGGCACTCACACTCATCAGCAGACAGAGTGCATTCACTTTCTTTTCTTTCCTTTTTTCTTTCTTTTTTTTTTTTTTTTTAGAGAGGAGGTCTTGCTTTGTCACCCCAGGCTGGAGTGCAGTGGTGCAATTATAGCTCACTAATGCCTTAAATTCCTGGGCTCAAGCAATCCTCCAGCTTCAGTTTGCTGAGTAGCTGGGACTACAGACATGCACTATCACACGGGGCTAATTTTGTAAATTTTTTGTAGAGATGCGGTTTTGCCATCTTGCCCAAGCTGGTCTTCAACTCCTGGGCTCAAGTGATCCTCCCACCTCAGCCTCCCAAAATACTGGGATTACAGGCATGAGTCACCGTGCCCAGACTACATTTACTTTCTTGATTGCACTTTGAGGTTTAGGGGCTAATGCCTGATGCTTTTTTTTTATCTGTATGAAGCAGCGGCCACACAGATCTTCATCAAAAGCTGACTGTTCTCATTTCTCCCCAAGTAATCACTCTTTTTTTTTTTTAGCTTGTGCTAAATCATTTTTTAAAATTGTAGCTCTGAGGCATTTTATTATACAAAGTTAGTACTCATATACATAAACTAATAGGAACTTAAAACTCATTATACCTTTGCTTCATTTTTTTTAGCTTGACTCCCTCGTAAATCTTTAGCTTCATTGATTTGGCTGCTATGTAAGCTTCATTGATTTGGCTGCTTAAATCACTCCGTTGAGTGATTTAAGAGCATAATTTAGAAGAATGGTGTGTCCATGTGTGGCTCAGTTTACAGTACCATTTGGAGTTTGATTGCTTCTGTGAGTTGGGTGATCTCTCCTCTTGAGGTCCAGATCAACCCCAGGAGGAGCCTAGCTGCTGCTCCCCATTGGGCGCCCCATTTCAGCAGAAGTAGCCAGGAGTCGTCACCCAGAACCCCCTAACAGCAGTTAGTGTGGCATCTCCACAGTGGGGAATGTTGTAGGAGTTATTAAGAAATTATTTTGGCCGGGTGCGGTGGCTCACGCCTGTAATCCCAGCACTTTGGGAGGCCGAGACGGGTGGATCATGAGGTCAGGAGATTGAGACCATCCTGGCTAACACGGTGAAACCCGTCTCTACTAAAAATACAAAAAATACAAAAAAAAAAAAAAAATTAGCAGGGCATAGTGGCGGGCGCCTATACTCCCAGTTGCTCGGGAGGCTGAGGCAGGAGAATGGCGTGAACCTGGGAGACAGAGCTTGCAGTAAGCCGAGATCGCACCACTGCACTCCAGCCTGGGCAACAGAGCGAGACTCTGTCTCAAAAAAAAAAAGAAAAGAAATTATTTTAGGCAGATAAAGAGGAAAAGGGGTCCTTGGGAAGTTTTCGTTTTTTTTTTTTTTTTTTTTTTATACTTTAAGTTTTAGGGTACATGTGCACGTTGTGCAGGTTAGTTACATATGTATACATGTGCCATGCTGGTGCGCTGCACCCATTAACTCGTCATCTAGCATTAGGTATATCTCCCAATGCTATCCCTCCCCCCTCCCCCTACCCCACAACAGTCCCCAGAGTGTGATATTCCCCTTCCTGTGTCCATGTGATCTCATTGTTCAGTTCCCACCTATGAGTGAGAATATGCGGTGTTTGGTTTTTTGTTCTTGCGATAGTTTACTGAGAATGATGATTTCCAATTTCATCCATGTCCCTACAAAGGACATGAACTCATCATTTTTTATGGCTGCATAGTATTCCATGGTGTATATGTGCCACATTTTCTTAATCCAGTCTATCATTGTTGGACATTTGGGTTGGTTCCAAGTCTTTGCTATTGTGAATAATGCCGCAATAAACATACGTGTGCATGTGTCTTTATAGCAGCATGATTTATAGTCCTTTGGGTATATACCCAGTAATGGGATGGCTGGGTCAAATGGTATTTCCAGTTCTAGATCCCTGAGGAATCGCCACACTGACTTCCACAATGGTTGAACTAGTTTACAGTCCCACCAACAGTGTAAAAGTGTTCCTATTTCTCCACATCTTCTCCAGCATCTGTTGTTTCCTGACTTTTTAATGATTGCCATTCTAACTGGTGTGAGATGGTATCTCATTGTGGTTTTGATTTGCATTTCTCTGATGGCCAGTGATGATGAGCATTTTTTCATGTGTTTTTTGGCTGCATAAATGTCTTCTTTTGAGAAGTGTCTGTTCATGTCCTTCGCCCACTTTTTGATGGGGTTGTTTGTTTTTTTCTTGTAAATTTGTTTGAGTTCATTGTAGATTCTGGATATTAGCCCTTTGTCAGATGAGTAGGTTGCGAAAATTTTCTCCCATTTTGTAGGTTGCCTGTTCACTCTGGTGGTAGTTTCTTTTGCTGTGCAGAAGCTCTTTAGTTTAATTAGATCCCATTTGTCAATTTTGTCTTTTGTTGCCATTGCTTTTGGTGTTTTAGACATGAAGTCCTTGCCCATGCCTATGTCCTGAATGGTAATGCCTAGGTTTTCTTCCAGGGTTTTTATGGTTTTAGGTCTAACGTTTAAGTCTTTAATCCATCTTGAATTGATTTTTTATAAGGTGTAAGGAAGGGATCCAGTTTCAGCTTTCTACATATGGCTAGCCAGTTTTCCCAGCACCATTTATTAAATAGGGAATCCTTTCCCCATTGCTTGTTTTTCTCAGGTTTGTCAAAGATCAGATAGTTGTAGATATGCGGTGTTATTTCTGAGGGCTCTGTTCTGTTCCATTGATCTATATCTCTGTTTTGGTACCAGTACCATGCTGTTTTGGTTACTGTAGCCTTGTAGTATTAGGAATCCAACTTACAAGGGATGTGAAGGACCTCTTCAAGGAGAACTACAAACCACTGCTCAATGAAATAAAAGAGGATACAAACAAATGGAAGAACATTCCATGCTCATGGGTAGGAAGAATCAATATCGTGAAAATGGCCATACTGCCCAAGGTAATTTACAGATTCAATGCCATCCCCATGAAGCTACCAATGACTTTCTTCACAGAATTGGAAAAAACTACTTTAAAGTTCATATGGAACCAAAAAAGAGCCCGCATTGCCAAGTCAATCCTAAGCCAAAAGAACAAAGCTGGAGGCATCACACTACCTGACTTCAAAGTTTTCGTTTTTTAAAGCATCTCCGGAAAAGTTTCTCGTAAAGCCCAGTCTCTTAGAGCCAGGTGGCAACCTTTGATATGCAAATGGAAGCCGTTAGAAACTGGGTCCACCCAAACATGGCGATTCCCACACTTTCTTGGCCTTTCCCCACCTGTTCCTAGCAACATGGCCGCCCCCACGTATCCCCAAGTGTGTAGAACATCATGTGTCCTGCATTTGCATATTAGAAGGCTAGGGTGGGAGGGCCAGCTTTTTCCAGGGCTACATCAATGACATGCCCAATCAAACCAATCCCCTAAGCCCTATGCAAATCAGACATCGCCTCCTCCAGCCTCTGTATACCTAGCTGGTATCTGGGGCAGGTGGGTTTCCCTGTCTCCGCTTTGGAGCCCCCGCTCCCTCTGTCTCTATACAGGGGAGCTTCTTCCTTCTCCCTTCTTGCCCCTTCTTGCCTATTAAACTCTCCGCTCCTTTAAAAAAAAAGAAAAAGAGCATAATTTGTCTGTGAGCAGCAATTATTTTCCCTTATTGGCAGTCGGGCATACATGGAGTATTAATGCTGCTTCCCATTTTGTCATTTTGGGTTCAAACCCACCTCTGTAGTAGCCACCACCGAAGGCAGATTTTGGTAGACTTTGAAAAACTTGTTCTGCTTGAGGCTCCATGTGCTTCATGGCTTGCAACACCTAATGGCCTGCAAATTCTACAGCTACAATGGTGAGTCCAGCTGCTACCACCTACTAGCCATGGCTCCAGCCTGGCTCCCCCTGCCACCACCTGGAGCATGGACCATCCCAGCCCAGAGGTCACTGTCAAAAACAACACGCCTTTACCGGAGAGCAACACAGCCACTGACAGCAAGCTCAATCCGCACAAGTCCACCGACAGCAAGCCCAATCTGCCCAAGCCCACCCACCGCGAGCCCAATCTGCCTAAGCCCACCCACCGCGAGCCCAATCCGCGCAAGCCCAACCACCTCAAGCCCAATCCGCCCAAGCCCCGACTCATCAGTTCTTCACACCCCATATGCTTTCTTTTTAGAGTGTTGCCCCCTAAACCATTCATGATGAGTACCTTTCACCATCTGTTTTTTTCTTTTTACCCTCTTGGAAAAGAGGAAGGTCACCTGAAGGTCACCACTGGAAAACCTTGCTGGCTCTGGGGAGTTATTGGTCTGTGACACTGTTCAGACTTGGGCTGTAGGCAGTCTGGTACCTGTGCAGCCTCTCTTTTATTTGTTTACTTTTATTGTAAAACCTGTGTGCAAAAAAGTATATGTAGTGTAAAGATAAGGTTTAAAGAATAGTGGTGAAAAAGAACATCCATTTACCCTCCACCAAGCTTGAGAATTTTTTTTTTTTTTTGAGGCGGACTCTCACTCTGTCGCCCAGGCTAGAGTGCACTGGCACAATCTTGGTTCACTGCAACTTCCGACTGCTGGGTTCAAGCGATTCTCCTGCCTCAGCCTCCGGAGTAGCTGGGACTACAGGTGCCCACCACCATGCCTGGGCAATTTTTGTATTATTAGTAGAGACTGGGTTTCACCATATTGGCCAGGCTTGTCTCGAACTCCTGACCTTGTGATCTGCCTGCCTTGGCCTCCCACAGTGCTGGGATTACAGGCGTGAGCCGCTGCGCACCGCAGCTTGAGAATATGAGCAGCACTTTTGAAGTCCCTACGCAATGCGGCTTCCCTCATCCCTCCTTTCCCTCTCTAGCCCATCAGAGGCAACCACTGTGCTGAATTTAGTATCAATCAACCCCTTGATATTAATGTAGTTTTTTAACCACATATTAAATATTTAAATAATGTATTGCTTAGTCGTGCTTCCTTTTGAACTTTTTATCAATGGTATATAGTATGTATTTTTCTCAACATACTGATTTTCTAAATGTTACTTTTAAAAAGGTGTATCTGTGTTGATTTAGCTACAGTAATTTTAAAATTAGGATTCATATTCCTTATAATTTTATCTCTGGGGAATTTTTGAGGATCTTCTTCCAGAAAGGACTGGGGTTTTATTTCTCCAGATACCTGGAGTATTATTACCAGCCCAAGGCCTCCTACAAATACATTTTGGGTTTTTTTGAAAACGCAGGTGGTGTAAATTCTGACTCCAGCCCTAAACTCAGGCAGGCATTTCTTCATTTCATTTATTGCACCCAGAACAAAGTCTGAGAGGGGCCTGTATCCTCAGTTCATTTCTGTGGGGCAGGTTTTTGTTTGAGTAAACCCACTGAGTGTGTTGACCTTTGGGGAATCCTAGTTTTTGTAGAGTTCTCTCATTTAGATTCCTATACTTCTAAAAATGTAAAGCAAATACCAATAAAATAGCATACCAGATATTGGTTATCTTTTGCCCTAATGTGGTGTAACAAGTCACCACAAAACTTAGTGATTTAAAATAATAATTTGGCCGGGCGCAGTGGCTCATGCCTGTAATCCCAGCACTTTGGGAGGCTGAGGCGGGCGGATCACCTGAGGTTGGGAGTTCAAGACCAGCCTGACCAATATGGAGAAAACCCCGTCTCTAATAAAAATACAAAATTAGCCGGGCGTGGTGGCGCATGCCTGTAATCCCAGCTGCTCAGGAGGCTGAGGCACAAGAATCACTTGAACCTGGGAGGTGGAGGTTGCGGTGAGCAGAGATCGTGCCACTGCACTCCAGCCTGGGCAACAAGAGCGCAACTCTGTCTCAAAAAACAAACAAACAAGCGAACAAAAACAATAATTTATTTTTGCTCTTGTGTCTGGGAGTCAGTTAGGGTCTGCTGGTCCAGGCTGTGCTCAGCTCAGCTTGGTGCCCCGCTGTGGGCTGGGTTCAGCCTGCTCCACACGTCTCTCATCCTCCTCAGATCCATAGAGCATGTTCTCCTCATGGCAGTGGCAGAATTTATTCCAAGAGTGCCTAGCAGAAACATGCATGAGCAGAAACATGCAATGCCTCCTAAGGTCTAGACCTGATGCACTTCCTTTCTGCCCATGCTCCGTTAGCTAGAGCCACTCATGTGGTCCTCAGTCCAATAGGAAACATATTCTGCCTCTAGTGGAAGGAGCGGCAAAGTCACATGGCAGAAGGTCTAGATACAGGTAGAGAATCTTGATCATTAATTCAATTTGCCACAGGGAAATTGCTTTCCTTTACCTCTGCTTGCTAGTGCTGTGGATCTGTGCTCACTGAATTCCATTCTCAAACGTTTACATTTCCTGAGGGTTTGATTTATTACTCAAGTATGTTCATCTCTACTCCTGAAGTCTCTCAGGTGGGATATTCCAGATGAGATATTTCCTAAAATTGAAAAAAAAAAAAAAAAAGGCCAAGTGTGGTAGTGGCTCATGCCTGTAATCCCAGTACTCTGGGAGGCCGAGGAGGGAGGATCACTTGAGCCCAGGAGTTTGAGACCAGCCTGGTGCCCCACTGTGGGTTGGGTTCAGTCTGCTCCACGTGCAAGCAACAAAGCAAGACTCCATCACTACCAAAAAATTTTTAAAAATGAAAAATAAAAATTAGCCAGGTGTGGTGGTGCGTAGTTGTAATCCCAGCTACTTGGGAGGCTGAGGTGGGAGGATTCCTTGAGTCCAGGATTTCAAGGCTGCAGTGAGCTATATGGCACCACTGCACTCCAGCCTGGATGACAGAGCAAGACCCTCTCTCTAAAAAAAAAAAAAAAAAGGAAAAGAAAAAAGAAAAGAAAAAGAACATCAGGAGAATGCCAACTCAAGAGGTTCACTGCTTCCCCCAGCTTTGCTACTTTGGCAGGGTAGGGCTCCTGAGAACAGGAGTTCCTGTGGGAGAATCGTTTCTTACAACTTACTCATCATACGTCAGGATGTCACCTGGTCTCTGGGGGTACCTGTGGATAACCTGTGGCCGGGATGGGTAGGACAAGGTAAAACAAAACTCAAACTCAGGTGGGTGTGGTGGCTCATGCCTGTAATCTCAGCACTTTGGGAGGCCAGATCCACTTTTGGGTGGATCACCTGAGTTCAGGGGTTTGAGACCAGCCTGGCCAACATGTCAAAACCCCATCTCCACTAAAAATACAAAAATTAGCCAGGTGTGATTGTGCACACCTGTAATCCCAGCTACCCAGTTGGGCGAGGCACGAGAATTGCTTGAACCTGGGAGGCGGAGGTTGTAGTGAGCCAAGATGGCACCACTGCACTCTAGCCTGGGCGACAGAGTGAGACCCTGTCTAAAAATAAAAACAATAAAACGTGTCAAACTCACACATTTTAAATATTGATTCTTAAGCCACTGAAGAACTATATCCTCATTGTGCTGAAAAACAATGGGATACAAACTTGTTCTATTTTCAAGACATCTAGATCTTTTGTTATATTTACAAGAAAGATAAATTAGGTGGTGGCTATTCATAAATTAATGAAAGATTCCTCACTTTATAAAAGGAGTTGGTGCAAGGTAAATTTAAGTAGCAAACTTTTCCAAAACATTAAAAATTTCATGCAATTTGAAAATTTTGGCTGGGTGCGGTGGCTCACGCCTGTAATCCCAACACTTTGGGAGGCCGAGATAAGCAGATCACTTGAGGTCAGGAGTCTGAGACCAGCTTGGCCAACATGGTGAAACCCCATCTCTACTAAAAATACAAAAAATTAGCCAGCTATGGTGGCATGTGCCTGTAATCCCAGCTGCTCGAGAAGCAGAGACAGGAGAATCGCTTGAACCCAGGAGGTGGAGGTTGCAGTGAGCCGAGATCTTGCCACTGCACTCCAGCCTGGGCAACACAGCAAGACTCTGTCTCAAAAAAAACAAAATTTTTTAAAAAATTTTCTTACAACTTTTCAGAAACCTGTTTATCACATATAACAGGAAATATTTGCAGGTCTGGGGCTATTTTTCCATTGTGGTGATCAGTATATATTTTTAATGATTTCATTTCATTTTTATTAAACTTTTTTTTAAGGATTCATATATGGTTCATTTCGTGTACTGGTTAATGTTTGTTACTTTAAGCCATTAAAAAGCAGAATTTGAGTCTTACAATTGGACACTGTTTGCATATTGTTTTAGTTATTTCTAGTTTTTTGTAAAGTATATAAATGCGTTTTTTTCTTCCAAATTATTGGTCGGATTGTGTAATTATTAAGAGCCTTTGATCTGAGGGTCCCTGTGTGTCTCATCTCTCTCTCTCTTTTTTTTTTTTTTTTTTTCCTGTGGCGGAGTTTCGCTCTTGTTGCCCAGACTGGAGTGCAATGGCACGATCTCGGCTCACCGCAACCGCCACCTCCTGGGTTCAAGTGATGCTCCCGCCTCAGCCTTCCAATTAGCTGGGATTACAGGCATGCGTCACCACGCCCGGCTAATTTTGTATTTTTATTAGAGACGGGATTTCTCCATATTGATCAGGCTGGTCTCAAACTCCCGATCTCAGGTGATCCGCCTGCCCTGACCTCCCAAAGTGCTGGGATTACAGGCGTGAGGCACCGCGCCCGGCCTGATCTCTTTACTGACACGTGCCCACAGGGGAGCAAGGAATTCCTAACTTCAGTAGTAACTTGGGAATTTCATTGAAAAGTGACAACTCCTTTCCATCTTTCATACTTATTTTTCCCACCATCTTCTGGGTTTTGATAATTATCTTTTAGGTACTCCAAGAGTACTATGATAGGCTTAAAAAAAAAAAGAACAGAAAAGGAGACAGCTGGGAAATCCACCAGCAGAATCAAGTTCCATATACCAAATTATTTTTTTTCATATTTTCTTACATATTGTTTGTACCATCTCTTCATCCCACTCTACTTTCGGAGCGAGCATTATTCCTGGAAGAACTTTTGTATTTTCTCGGAGTCCATCTGCTCTGAATACTTATCTCCCACCTGAGGCCATCATGTTCCATTCGGAGCATCGTAATCATTTTCACAGCAACTAAACATGATTTCACACACAGCAGATTATGACTTCTGTGGGGAGTGAGCAGTGTAAAATGATTAACCCCTTAGGACAGGGACCCCATTTCACACTAATCTCCTTAGCAACCAACAGAAGACAGGAAAATGGACAGCATAAATGGATTGAGGATAATGCAGCATCCCATTTAACGATCAGTTCTAAATGCCTCCGGAACATACTTCCAACCAGAAATGATAGCTGATGCCAAAGAGTATTGAGCAAATGTCCCTGGAAAAGGTGGCACTCGTGTGGAAGAAGGACATGGGAACATATGCCGTAAAGATTGGGGGTCCATCAGGGATGAAGTCTTGCCTGACTGTGGTGGGCCGCTGGGCCAGTAGGACTCCCGGAGAGACAGCATCACAGAATGCATGGATGGTGGGGTTCCGAATGGCTTAAGTCTAAATGAGTTGATTCTACTTTTGTCTAGTTCCGTTACGTTTTGGGGAAGAAGAGCTATACCATGCATAGGTTTGTGAATTAGTTCTTATAACCTCCCTATAATTACAGAAACAAGGATAACCCAAAGGTCTTGATTTTTTTTTCCTAAAATATTTCTTTTTCCCTAAAAGACTTCATGGCAATTGAATACCCTGTTTTCAGTTTACTATTGCTAGTTCAAGGAAGGGAGTTTTTACTGGGAAGAAGAAAGTCAATCTAAACAATGCCACAACTGTTTGTTTTTTTTTAAATAACCTTCCATGCCTATGACACAGGCAGCTAACATAATGGGTTCCATTGTATTTGAATGCTTCTGAAGTTAATGCTACCTTTTTCTGCATGACTTACATATAGAGGAAGTCGGGTTGGTTTGTAGCCAATGGCTGTTAGATTTGATGACTAACAGTAGGTATCTCAGTAACAAAATGTTTCTCTCTCCATCACCATTAATTTTGGAATCTTCACCAGAGCTGATTGATCAACTCAGACAACACTCTTTATAAAGTATAATGAAATTAGAATTTTGATTTAGTCGTAAATGTGGTTACAGGGTGGGATTTGAAAGCATCTTCTGTCATTGAAGAGAAGACTATCATCAAAGAAATTACCGGCATGCTATAGGAATCCAGGCATTGTGGAACCTTCTGTTACCCCAGGCAATTATTATTATTGTGATTTTCGACTCGGCAAGTGTATGGACTTGAAAAAATCATCTAATAAACATTTATTATTAGCTACCCTTTGCCTGATAGCAGAAAATGAGAAGGAACCAGATGCACCCACTTTAATTAATTGGTGTAATCAGGAGTGGTATGCGACATCAAGGGTGAAAATTGCTGACTTAAACTGTGGCTTTGTGGCTCCAATGAAGTCTTGAAGTCTTTTTTCCCCTTGAATAACAACAGAATCAGAGCCTCTGGATTTTCCTTTCTCATCCATCTGAATTTCTTTCCTTTTTTGGGGGTGGAGGTGTGTTCAATTGAAACTTTTGATGTGGTGATAGGATTCCCAATTTTTCTGCAGGAGAGTTGGGAGTTTATTCCTGAGTTTTCTCAGTTCATTCAAAAGACCAACAAAGAGAGGAACAACATCAGGAAATGTAATGGAAACAATACATGTTATCCTCCTTTTGCCTGAACATGGTACAGATTGAAGTAGCAACCCTCTGCTTAGAAAAACCTTTTCTGTTGTTCCCGACTAAGCAAACCATCCTTTAGGTCTCTGCTTAGACATCACTTTCTCTGAGAAGTCTTCCCAAAATACCCTCCCTCCCAAACCACCCTACCCTCCATCCTTCCTCCAGCTCTGTTAGGCTTCCTTATTCCCGTCTTAGCACTTCATCCACTTTATTTTAGAATTGCCTATTTATTGTCTATATCCTCTTTTACTTGGGGTCAGGCACTGTGTCTTGTCACCTCTATATCTCCAGGATCTAATACAGAGCCTAGCATTCAGTAGGTGCTTAATCAAACCTTTATTGAATGAATGAATGAATGAATGAATGAATGAATGGAAGTAGTGTCTGTCTCACCTAGGTATACCTTACTCATGTCTGCATTTTCAGTACCTACTGTCACTGGAAAGGAGTTCCGATCCAGACTCCATGAGAGGGTTCTTGGATCTTATGCAAGAAAGAATTCTAGATGAGTCCATAAAGTGTAAGCAAGTTTATTAGAGAAGTAAAGAAACAAAAGTATGGCTACTGCACAGACAGATCAGAACCGAGGGTTGCTGGTTGCCCACTTTTATGGTTATTTTTTCATGATATGCTAAACAAGGGGTGGATTATTCATGCCTCCCCTTTTTAGACCATGTAGGGTAACTTCCTGATGTTGCCATGGCATTTGTAAACTGTCATGGTGCTGGTGGGAGTGTAGCAGTGAGGACGACCAGAGGTCACTCTCGTGGCCATCTTGGTTTTGGTAGGATTTGGCCGGCTTCTTTACTGCAACCTGTTTTATCGGCAGGGTGTTTATGACCTGTATCTTGTGCCAACCTCCTGTCTCATCCTGTGATTAAGAATGCAGCCCAGCAGGTCACAGCCTCATTTTACCCAGCTCCTATTCAAGATGGAGTTGCTCTGGTTCAAATGCCTCTAACCCTACTTGGTGTATCAGTTATCTATTGCTGCATAACAAACCACTGCAAAACTTAGTGTCTTAAAACAGCAGCTATTTAGCCATGATTCTGCAGACTAGCAGTTTAGGCTGGCCCAGCTGGTCAGTGCTGGTTTCAGCTGGGCTCCCTCATGTGTCTGTGGTCAGCTTCCAGGCCGTTGAGTGCTGGGTGTTCTAAGTAGGCCTCAGCTGGGGGTGTTGTCTCTTTTCCCTGTGATCTTTTATCTTCCAGAAGGCTAGCCTGGGCTTTTTCAAGTGGCAACTGGGCAGGGCTGTAAGAAAGGGAGCAGAAGTATGCATGACCTCTTGAGGCCCAGGCTCAACTGGCACATCATCACTTCTGCTGTATTTTCTTGGCTGCAGAAGTCACAGAGCCAGTCCTGACTTAAAGGGAAGGAAAACTGACTTCTTTGAGAGGAGGAACTGCAAAGATAGGTTTTAAAGAGGCAGGGATACGTGGAGGAGAGTAATTGAGGACATTTTTGCAAACAATCTATTATTCTTGGCATAGTGTAGGTACTCTAAAGCACTTGACTACTTTGAGTCCAACAAGTATTAGATTTAGCCCAAGTCTTGGAAAGTCTTCCAAAGAAGATAAAATTTCTCTTTGGTTGCATTCTGAATCCCTGCCCTTCCCCATCTCCTATTCCCTGATCCCTCCACTGCTTTGTGACCCAAGCATGCAGGCCTTGTGTGGCTGTCAGCGCCCAGGTCCTCCTATTCAATGGGTGATACATCCTGGACACCTACTGTTCTCCTGAGCATCTTGTATAAACTAGACCCCACACCCGACGGGACCACAGCAGTGAGCAAGAAAGACAGATTCCTGTTCTCCACTGGGAAAGATGGATGTTTGACTAGAAACTACGAAATGGATGTTTGACTAGAAACAGGTAACAGAGGGGACCTGCCTTGTTGAGGACCTGGCATTTAAGCTGCGACCTAAGAGGTGGGTAGGAAGGGGTGTTCTCGCCATGGAGGAGGTGGCGGTGACAGTGTGGGGCCCAGAGACGGTACGGTGGAGCACTTTTCAGAGAGAGGGAGTGTGCAGAAGGGCCCTGGTGCAGGAAACTGGGAGAGGACAGAATGGCTTCAGCTCAGGGGTGAGGGATGGCAGAGGTGTGCCAGACCGGGTCTCCTGGGGCTGGGTGAGCCAAGGCACTTTCCCAAGAGATGACTGGAAAGCTGTTGAAGGGTTACAGACACAGGGGAGGTGACCCAATTTACTTTTTAAAATCATCCTGGGCTGCATAGATAATACATGTAGAGGCGTGCAAGGCTGGACATGAAATTCCTTCCATTCTCCACCATCAAAACACTCTACCCAGCGGGGTGTGAGGAAGAAAGCAATCCGATGACATCGAATTCGCACTAAAGTTACTGAGAACCTTGTCATGGTATTTGTTCAAATCTTGAGTGTGCAGTCTTCGAAACCCTCTGAGCTCTGTTCCAGACTGTCCTCTCAGCCTTGAGTGCACATGGGGCACCGGAAGCTGGTGCACTGGGGAAGAGAGGGAACCGTCACTGCCAGCTGCCCGGTGGTGCAACCCCCATTCATTCTGATGTGGGCTGGCTGGCTGGCAAGGCGGCAGAGGGGCTCAGTGTCGCCGTGTAAGTCCTCAAACGGTCCTTGCTAGTGGCTCACTTTAGAGGGGATGGTGCACGGCTCCTTTTCCTCGGGATCTCAGAGCAGGTGCTTCACCTGCCTCTACTTCCCCCTTGCCCATATTCCCCCCATTGGGTACTATTTTACCTTTTCATTGGATGTCATTTAAAAAATGTGGTAACTCAGCAACACCTTTCACTGCCTTAGGCATCTGGTTTTCTGTGTGACACAGAGGCCTTCCTTCTGGCGCTGTCTCCCGGGAGCATCTTCAGGCAGCATTTCTCTAACTTCACTGAATGATTCTGGAAGTGGCTGGCAGATCACTGTCAGTGGAGTCAACCAGATGTGTATCTGCTAGGCCATTTCCCTTTCCACCTTCCCTCGGTTCTCGCTGGGTCACAGAAGCAATGTCATAACAACACAGCTTCCTCCTAATGAAACATCTGCAGCCACCCTCTGGCTGACAGTTCATTAACCTTGTGGCCCAAACTGCTTCGGTGCCGTCCCTGCTCCTGAATTTTAACATTCAGAGTTTTCTTCAAAGCCCAGGTCTGCTTATCAATCATGTTCAATATTAGGTTACTTACAGAATGAAGTCATTATCTTTAATGTTTAATAACTGTGCCACAAAGATAATATAATAAAATCTGAGAAATGTAATTGAGAGAGGCTTTTGACTCAAGTCTTGTGTGTGTGTATGTGTGTGTGTGTTTAATCTTTCCTAATCCTATCCCCAAGGCTAAGAAAAACCTTGTTTTCGCTCTGTCTTCTACTTGGTTTGTCTCTTTTGTTTTGTTTTTGCTTGGCAATGTCCTGATCAGTCTGTTTTGGTGATGGCTGAGTCTGGGGAGCTGGCAGCAGAGATGATGACACTGGGATTGACACTATGCTGCAGGAGGGGGTGGTTGACGGCCACAGGAGATGTTGTGGGGTTGGACCCTTGCAGGGCATGGATTTGGTCAGGTATGGGGAACAAATGACCAGCGTGGACTCTGCTCCTGACACAAATGAACAAAGTGCCCAGATCTGATTCCCCCAGCCCTGGTGGCTTCCAGGTCTTTGAAGGTAGAATTGAGCCTCACAGCAGATGGCTCCTGGTAGTGAAGAGATTCTTGGGCAAAAGCCTGGTCATTAAAGAAGGAAGATTTCTTTCTTTCCTTTTTTTTTTTTTTTTGGAGATGGAGTTTCACTCTTGTTGCCTAGGCTGGAGTGCAATGGCGCAATCTCCACTCACCGCAACTTCCACCTCCCGGGTTCAAGCAATTCTCCTGCCTTAGCCTCCTGAGTAGCTGGGATTACAGGCTTGTGCCACCATGCCCGGCTAATTTTGTATTTTTAGTAGACATGGGGTTTCTCCATTTTGGTCAAGCTGGTCTTGAACTTCCAACCTCAGGTGATCTGCCCGCCTCGGCCTCCCAAAGTGCTGGGATTACAGGCGTGAGCTACTGCACCCAGCCGATTTCTTTTTATTTTTTTGTTTAGGAAAATGTATAAAATGGAATGTAGTCATTTTGCTTTGTCTTCTTGGAAGAAGCATCAATATGAATAAGTCTTTGAATTTGCAAGTTAAAACTCTGATTTTCCATGGGCAGAATCCGGGTGAGAAATAAGTCTGTTTGACTGTTTTGAGTTCTTCCTTTAAAGAATATAGACCATGATGGTGGCCTGTGTTGTGTCCTGAGGGGCTGTGTACACGGAGTCTATGGCAAGGTTCATAAAACGCTTAGAGGTTTTTCAGAGAAAGGAGCTATAGAAATGGAAGGTGGCACAGTTGTGTTGGAAACCTCCCACGGGGTCTCCAGGCTCTCATTTCCCTCCAAGTCATAAAGTGAGAGGATCTGTGGTAAGTCTCCCCCTCTCCCCTCCCCTCCCTCTCTTATTCTGTTCTCAAGGCAAGAAGCAAAGCATGAGGGTCTAACTATACAGGACAATCCTTCCACGGTTCCTCTGCGCAGTCCCATCTTACATCTTTGGAGGAGTTGGATAGCTTTTCTTTCAAAATTTTACAATAATTCCTTTCCTTTTTCTGAATTGCTTTATGAGTTGACTTGTCTTCCTAAGGAGTCAAAGTTAACAAGACTACCCTTGAACAATGTGAAACTCAACCAGGTATGTAGCAGGCTTTTGGTTTTTTATCTAAATGGTTGAATTTCTTTTTTGGTCTAGCTGTATTAGGAATAGAGAGAAGAGAATTTCTGGAAGTGGAGACCAGGAAAGGGTTCAGACTAGTTCTTATTATTATTACTTTTTTTTCCCTGAGACAGAGTCCCGCTCTGTTACCCAGGCTTCTGGAGTGCAGGGGCATGATCTCGGCTCACTGCAACCTCCACCTCCCGGGTTCAAGCAATTCTCCTGTCTCAGCTTCCCGAGTAGCTGGGATTACAGGCACCCACCAACAGACCTGGCTAATTTTTGTATTTTTAGTAGAGATGGGGTTTCACGATGTTGGCCAGGCTGGTCTCGAACTCCTGATCTCAAGTGATCCACCTGCCTCGGCCTCCCAAAGTGCTGGGATTACAGGCGTGAGCCACTGTGCCCGGCTGGGTTCTTGAGGGAGCCAGGCTGAGTTCTGCAGATGCTTCTGTTTTTGACTGCTCTCATATTTTCTAAAGTACATCCTAGTCTCTTTCAACTCATGGGGAAAATTGCAGAGAGTTAGGGCCCGTATAGTATGTGACACCAATCAAGACATAAATAATGAAGCATAAACATGTTTTTAAAAAACCTGTTATTTGGGATGGAGAGAAAATAACCCTTTTCAAACATTCGATATAACTTTATACATCCTAGGGAAATGTTTACACACACCATTGGTTTAAAATTTTAGCTGAATTATTTTGATACTTCAGTTCAACAAATGGTCAATTCAGTCAGTTTTTTAATTGATTTTTCACAAAATGGAACCGGTTGACTGCTTGACTCAACTAGTCATTTGTGTGATACAGACGCAGGCTTAGAAGAATAAGGTTGAACTGGGCAGTGGCAGATGGCTAAGGTCGAGTTTAAGGAAGACACAGAGAACTCTACCCATGGGTCCGTATCATGGGTTCCTGTCCTCACATCCATATCATCAGTTCATTTAGTGAATGAAATCATAATCCCTGCCTCTCAAGGTCTCATTTGATTTCACATTCAGTGGCGTTTTCAGTCTGTGTTGAAAGCACATGAGATGTTGACGCATTTGCACACATGGTGAGCCAGGAAGGAGGTGACGAGAGTGAACTGGGAAGAGATCATTTGAACATTAGAGATGACGATTCTGTTTACTATTTTCTTAAGTCCTTACTGGAAATATTACTTTTCATGGACTAGAACTAATTGGAAGTAAGATATCCTGTAAGTCCATTTAGAAAAAATTCTTCCAACTAGTTCTGAGCACGCTGGATTTGCCTGAGAAACTCTTTGGGCTGCATTCTGAGGGTGGCTTGGGTGGATTTGCCTTGACTTGATGGCCTTGAGGAATAAGGAGGCCTGAATGGGCGTGAAACTGTGTTTAGAACTTGAGTTGGCCTGACACAGCTCTGGTTCACACTTGAACTTATGTGGACACTTCTCTGCCTCTCCATTATTCATCTTTGTACCTCCTGCATCTAGCGTAATGTTGAACACATGACAGACGTTCATTAGATGTTCAGAGTCTGGTTGTTTGCCAGCCTAAAATGCTTAGAGTTTATTGAATTGGGTTGTACATGCTACTAGGACCTATGACTTTGGGGAAGGAAGTTTTAGGGTTCAGCAACCTTTCACGTTTTGTCTTTTTTTTTTTCTTATGGGCTAGGATATTTACCCAAGGTAAATTCAGAGAACAGGGGTGCGCAGTGTTACATATGGCATTCCCCACTTAGGAGCAAGTGACTAATATCTGTGTTAACTGAAGTCTGTCTTCTCACAGGTTCTGTGCTGAAGAACCATCTCACTGGCTGACACCCCTTAATAAGACATTCTGAATCTCCATGATTACAAGATTGGAGTGTGTTCAGAACCAGAGGCAAGCAGAATAGTTCAGAGATGTGGGTCGTAATCTGAGTGGGGATATAAGGGCCCCGACACAGGTGCCACCGGGCAGCTGCTGGAAGTGGGTTTGGAGCCGCACAGTGTGCACCAAGGTCAGTCCTGGGTGGGGGACGTGCAGCCAAAGGACCATCCCTGCGGGATTCAGACTCCAGATCCCCTGCTTTCCCATCGCCATGGGATGCCCAGAATGTTAGGAACAAAATCCTTGCTCACGAAGTCGGCCTCACTTTTCCCTGCCCAGCTACTGGCTTCCACGTCCTCGTCTTTATGAACTTTCCATCATGTGTCTAGAATTCCATCCCCTCTGCTCCCTGCTGATTCATGCCCGCCATTTTCCTAGGGAGCTCAGTCAACATTCAGCTCTTCAAAAATTCTTTTTCTGGCCTCATCTCAGGACTGTACTTCATTTTGTAGTTTTTCCACACAGAACTTGTAAGCACTCTTGAATCATTTCATTTATGTCCCGACTTTTTAGCTAGCACGCTTAAGAGCAACACAGGCCTTGTTTTTCTGTGTATATGCTGAAGCAAGCAGAACTGACCTACCCAAACTTAATAGTATGAACTGTGTTAATATAAATTGTCAGCTCTGGAGATTTTATTTGATTCTCAAAGTAACTCTGTGAAGGCCAGGCATGGTGGCTCACGCCTGTAATCCCAACACTTTGGGAGGCCAAGGTGGGTGGATCACCAGAGGTCAGGAGTTCAAGACCAGCCTGGCCAACATGGTGAAACCCCATCTCTACTAAAAATACAAAAATTAGCCGGTCGTGGTGGCACACACCTGTAATCCCAGCTACTTGGGAGGCTGAGGCAGGAGAATCGCTCAAACTCAGGAGGTAGAGGTTGCAATGAGCCGAGATCACGTCACTGCACTCCAGCCTGAGTGACAGAGTGAGATTCTGTCTCAAAAAATAAAAAAGAGCAATTTTTATTATTTCCATGTTTACAGATGATGAAACTGAAATTCAGAGAGGCCAGGTGACTTAACTAAGGTCACACAGCCAAGTGGAAGGCAGAGGTGGGATTTGAGTCTTTGCTGATTCCATGTCTATTATTCTTTCTACTGCCATACACTGTCTTTCTGGTTTGCTGATTCAATAAATTTTGCCTTGAAAAATTAGAGTCACAATTGTCTTTTGAAAGCCTTTCTTTGGAGGAAATATCCTCTGAGAAACTATGATTTTTTAGAAAATAATTGGACTTAGAGAAAAGGAGTAGGCTCTGCCTAAGGAAAAAATGTATTACTTAGTCCTTTATCAAACATTTATGGGTTTACTCTGTACTGTGCTAGTTGATGGGAGTGGGACTAGGGTCAAATGAGGACATGGTTTCTGTCCTCCCTGAACCCATAGCCTCGTGGCTTGGAGATGGGACACCATGGTGGCAGATGTTGTGTGTGCTTGTGAATCTGAAAGACTGATGCCTGATGGGCATCAGTTTTTGTTTGTTTGTTTGTTTGTTTGTTTTTGAGACAGAGTCTTGCTCTGTTGCCCAGGCTGGAGTGCAGTGGTGTGATGTTGGCTCACTGCAACCTCCACCTCCCAGGTTCAAGTGATTCTCCTGCCTCAGCCTCCAAAGTAGCTGGGATTACAGGCTCCCACCACCACACCCAGCTGATTTTTGTATTTTTAGTAGAGACGGGCTCTCACCATGTTGGCCAGGCTGGTCTCAAACTCCTGACCTCAGGTGATCTGCCTGCCTCAGCCTCCCAAAGTGCTGGGATGACAGGCATGAGCCACCGCGCCCAGCCCTAATGTTCTAACTCATAAGGAAATTTTACCTTCATTCACTACGAGTAGGCTCATACTATACAAATATTAGTTTCTAGAGTCCATTGATGGATGAAGAGATAAACAAAATGTGGTCTATGCATACAATGGCATATTCTTCAGCGTGGAGAAAGAATGAAAGATACGTGCTATAGCGGTAACATGAACCTTGAAGACATTATGCCAAGTGAAATAAGCTAAACACAAAAGCACAAACATTGTATGGTTTTGCTCATGTGACAGGCAAAATCATAGAGAAAGAAAGTAGAATAGAGGTTGCCAGCAGCTAGAGGGAGGGAGAATGGGTGCCGAGTTTCAGTTTGGGAAAGTGAAAAAGTTCTGGGCATGGCGATTGGTGATGGTTGCAAAACAATGTATGAACCACTGCATTAATGTACTTCATGCTCTTGAATAGTACACCTAAAAATGGTTAAATTGATAACTCTCATGTTACATATACCACACAGAAAATTAGTTTTCAGAATAGCTGACAAGCTATGCTTAGATATGTCTTTAAGGCAGGAGGAAGATGGCAGTGGTCATAGCAGTGTGTGGAAAGCAGGAGAGACCCCACATGTCACCAATTAGCTCTCCAAATCCAGAAAACATCAGGGATGAACAGCCTCCGCTGCCCATGATCCGCGAGCTGTTTCGCTAGCATTCCGAACAATTCTGGCAAAGGCGGAAACACTGGACCAGGATCTGGGTGACTCTTTCACAGTTGATTGGGTAAGGAGAAGCGCTGTTCTCAGAGAAATGAGAACATGTGTCTTGGAAGGCTGCCTTTGCTTAATGTTCTACACGATCCAGGAGGCCAGATGGCATTTTATGTGGTTTTCACAACTGTGATTTTGGATTGATTACTAAACCTGTTTGTGTTCCTAACCCAGCTCGCTGCCTCCCGCCTGCCTTTTAGCTTAACGCTCATTCCCAGAGCTCAGTTTGAACAGGCGCATTGTTTTTATTCTGTTCCTTATTATTATTGCGTTGGTGCCAGCCTTTACTACCTTCAGCCCTATTTGCTGCCCAGAGTCTAGTGCAGAAAATGAAATCCTTTTTCCAATAAGTGTGATCAAATGAAAGGCTGTCACACTGCATTTACATCCAATTCTGGGTTTTTTTTTTTTTTTTTTTTTTTGAGTTTGGGTCGCCCACATGATGGGTTGTAAAAGGATAAAGGATAATTTCTGATGTCGTGCCAGCTTTTCCTCACCCAGCTGACCTTCTACTATCAGATGGTATTTTCATAGGAAAGGCAAATTAATTTTATATCTAATGTAAGAAAAACATTATTAGGAAGATTGTAATGAAAATTAAGTAGTTTGCAAAATGTTTTAGAATTTTCATATTACTTTTGCATAAAAAACTTCTTTCAGTTCTTACAACAGTCCTGAGACAGAGTTCAGCAGGTGTCCCCATCTCATGAGGAAACGGAGGCTCAGAGAAGTTAGGGGGCATGTCCAAGGTTGCCCAGCTAACATTGGTCAGAGCTGGATCTGGAGAGCTTATCTGCGGGGTCCACATCCAGAATGCTTTCTACCGTTCTGCTGTACCAGCTGGAAAACAAAATCCCATTCGAGTAAATAATATCAGCAATAGCCACCATTTTAAGCAACTTACCAGGCCATTTACTAAATAAGTCTCCTTGTACTGTAGTAACTCTCATGACTAAGGTCTGCAGACGACCCATTTAATAGGCTGGCAAAGTGAGTCAGAGATTGCGAGGAGAGGCTGAGAGCTTCCTGGGAACATCTCTGTTGATGTCTTGAACTGGGTTCCCATTGTTCCAGCAGGGAAACTGAGGATAGCAGACATTGCAAAATGTCCTTCTGTGAAGAGACTTCTAGTCGTTTTGGTGAAAACACAGTGTCCTGCTGCCTAGCTGAAATCCTGGTATGGATAAGTTTATCTTATCATCTTTCTATTTCTAGTACTTGGCCCAGATCGTGACCTAACAGCAACTATTTGTTGAGTGGAACCTCCAAAGATAGCAGTTTCTTCTTGTGGGGAATTACAGTCTATTGATTTGCTCAATGCAAGTTCATTTTATTAAGATTTCTTCACCTGTGTGTTTATATAAATAGACAGCCAGGCAGTGCATGAAAGTGGCTGCCCGGCCAGAGTCTGGCTGGGCTGCTTCGTTCTACTCTGGGGATTGGACCCAGTAGAATTCTTGGACTTGGTGTGGAGTCCCAGGTCAAGCCAACTCATTACTTCTACCTCTCCTTTTTAAAAAGGGTTTTCTGTCTTTGGTTCAAGTTCCTCTTAAAACACAATCATCATCCCTTCATTGATAGAGGCACAAATGAATTATTTTTTTTCTTTTTTCTTTTTTTTTTTTGAGGCAGAGTCTTGCTCTGTTGCCCAGGCTATAGTACGGTGGCACGATCTTGGCTCACTGCAACCTCTGCCTCCCGGGTTCAAGTGATTCTCCTGCCTCAGCCTCCTGAGTAGCTGGGATTACAGGTGTACACCACCACACCTGGCTAATTTTTGTGTTTTTAGTAGAGACGGGGTTTCGCCATATTGACCAGGCTGGTCTCGAGCTCCTGACCTCTGGTGATCCACCCGCCTCGGCTTCCCAAAGTGCTGGGATTACAGGTGTGAGCCACCAAGCCCGGCCGAATTTTTAATTTTTTTATTGAAATGGAGTCTCACTCTGTCACCCAGGCTGGAGTGCGGTGATGCTATCTCAGCTCACTGCAACCTCTGCCTCCTGGGTTCAAGCGATTCTCCTGCCTCAGCCCCCCAGTAGCTGGGATTACAGGTGCGCACCACCACACCTGGCTAATTTTTATATTTTTAGTAGAGATGGGGGTTTCGCCATGTTGACCAGGCTGGTCTCGAACTCCTGATCTCAGGTGATCCACCCGCCTCGGCCTCCTGAAGTGCTGGGATTAGAGGCGTGAGCCACCACGCTCGGCCGAGGCACAAATGAATTTAAACCTCATTGAAATGACAGCGGATGGCCATGGCTCTACTGTGGTTTCCCTGGGCCACTTTCTTCTCCCGCCTTCCTGCCGCATGCAGGAGTGGAGGCCGAGGCTCCCTGGCCAGGCTGCTCTGGGTTATTACAGTGATATATCTTGGAACTGAGCTTGAGCAGGGATCCTCCTGTTTCCTGTTGGAATTGATTTTCTGTCCAACTTTCATTTCCTATTGTGCATTCCTTTGGGGTCAGAGCAGCTTTCTCAGACAAAAGCAGGGCTTTCTGTTTTGGAGATATTCCTGGCGTCTCTTCAGCTGCGTGTTTATAGAAATGGACAGCCCGGCAGTGCATGAAAGTGGCTGCCTGGCCAAAGTCTGGCCGGGCTGCTTAGTGGTACTCTGGGGGTTGGACCCAGTAGGATTCTTGGACTTGGCGCGGAGTCCCAGATCACCCTGTCATTGGCCCTGTATCTTAACTTGTAGGCACGTCTTCATCTGTCAGATGGGCTTTGTTCTCTGAAGCCCGCATCAGAGAGCTCTTCAGAAGAGAGGAAATGTTATATTGCTGTTATCATTTCAAATGCTTACCGCTAAGTGAATCTGGTTCAAAGCTTAACAGCCTGTGGGTGAACCGCAAAAGCTCAATTGGATCTCAAAGAAATCCCTGGTCAAGCCCTGTGCCTTCTAGTACCCAATTATTTATCAATAAGTGTGAAGATTGCAACCTCCAGATTATTCAGCCATTGTTGAGATGTGTAAAAACGGTATCCCCAGCACCTTGAAAGGCTAAGTAGGATCAACCCCCCAGTTGTTGTTCACTTTCTGTGTCCTCAGAATCCACTTTTGTTTCAGTCCTTCTAACCCATTCTCATTGTTTTCTGTCAGTGTTGGAATAAGTGGAATAGCAGGGTCCATAAACTCTACCACTTGATTGTCAGGAATGAAGAATTTGGTTTTCTCTGTTGTCATAACATTCGTGAGTACATCTGTAAGCAGGCATTTTCCCATCATCTTTCCCGCATTTCTAATGAATGTGACATCAGTCTATTTGCTGCTTCATAATCAAGGTCCTGTTTGTTGATATGTAATCAAAGCAACCGGATTATGTTTGTCAGTACGAGTCAGAAAAATCTAATATATATTTACTCTGATGCCATAAGGAGTGTCAGCCTTTGCTGGCCTCAATAATCTCGTCTTGGGAGAGAAAGCTCATAATGTGGTGAAGATACCGTTTTGGGATTATTTCTAGAACGTGATAGTTGTGCCGTGCACATACATGTCCAAATGCATTGAGTCATGTGATAGCATCCAGTTTTATGCAACCAAAATTGGACATTATATTGTTTGGATAGAGTGCTCAAGATGGGTGGTTCCTGGATAGAGTGTTGAAGGCAGTGGTGCCATCAATTCAGCAGCAAGGAACTTAATAGCTTTCTCATCACAGTCCTCACCTCCTCCCTCCTTTTTCTGTGTCACAGAAGCAGTAAGAAACATCGAGGAATTTCCCAACATATCAGGGAATTTGTTATTTCTTCTAAAACATAAGGAAGTACGTGGCAATATAAATGGCAAATGTGCGGGGTGCGGTGGCTCACACCTGTAATCCCAGCACTTTGGGAGGCCAAGGTGGGCGGACCAAGAGGTCAGCAGTTTGAGACCAGCCTGCCCAACATGGTGAAACCCTGTCTCTACTAAAAATACGAAAATTAGCTGGGCGTGGTGGCGGGTGCCTGTAATCTCAGCTACTCAGGAAGCTGAGGCAGGAGAATCGCTTGAACCTTGGGGGCGGAGGTTGCAGTGAGCCAAGATCGTGCCATTGTACTCCAGCCTGGGCAATAGAGCAAGACTCTGTCTCAAAAAAAAAAAAAAAAAAAAAAAAAGAAAGAAATGGCAAATGGACATTTACATGGTGATTAGAAAATTAGAATACACCGGGAAATCTGGGTTCTGTTCTCAGTCCTACTTGTAACACATCCACTGACCTTAAACACATTTCTTTACTTTGCTGCACCTGAATTCCCTTATCTGCTGTAAAATGAATTTGTTGAACTAAACTAAATGTTCTTTTTTTTTTTTTTTTTTTGCGACGGAGTCTCGCTTTGTCGCCCAGGCCGGAGTGCAGTGGCGCGATCTCGGCTCACTGCAAGCTCCGCCTCCCGGGTTCACGCCATTCTCCTGCCTCAGCCTCCCGAGTAGCTGGGACTACAGGTGCCCGCCACCACGCCCGGCTAATTTTTTGTATTTTTAGTAGAGACGGGGTTTCACCGTGTTAGCCAGGATGGTCTCGATCTCCTGACCTCGTGATCCGCCCGCCTCGGCCTCCCAAAGTGCTGGGATTACAGGCGTAAGCCACCGCGCCCGGCCCTAAATGTTCTTAAAGATCCTTTCCAGCCCTGACATTGAACTCAGTACATCAACTTACATGATTTATTCGCACAATCTTAGCAGAATTAATTTGGATTTGTTAATTGTTTGCATCTGGCTAATTATTGCCTGCACACCGTAAGACTATCTAACAGTAGTAGTTTCTTATATTAACTAAAGGTGCTGTGAAGGAAACATGGAATTCCCCCAAAATCAAAACTAAAAGAAACTTCTGCTTTAGAGCAAACACTGATAAAATATACATAAGGCACCCTAGCTGCACTGGGCCCTTCTGCCCTCTTCAGCAAGTCCTGCCTGAGGTGCACACAATTATTACTGGCTCTTGTGCCACAAAGTGACATCGTCTTTGGCTGTGACACCACATGAAGAGGGAAGGAGGTGTGAGACTGTGAAGACACTCAGTACAGGTGCAGCCTCCTCCACAGAGTAAATGTGATACTTCTCGAGTTAATGACTATGTTGGGAAGTTTTCCAACTCCACCATCTTCCCTGCTTCAACGAGGATCCCAGGGGGAAGCTCACAGATTTGCAGATCTTTTTACACTAAGGAAGAATAAAGCAGCATTCCAGTTGCAGGAGTATAAGCCAGCCACAGACCCAGGGGGCACATCTTACACTGTCTTTGGGAGAAAGAAAAAGTACTAATAACAAATAAATCTGATGGGATTTCAGATGGATTCCAGTCTCATTCTTTTGTGATAGCAGGGAGTGAGGTTTTGATATATTCCCTCTAGAGATGGTTCTAAACATGGAGACCCATCGATATCCAGGTATACCTCCTCTCCTCTCTGATCAATCCAATTGCTAAACAAGACCAGAGCAAGGCTCAGTAGTTGATGGCAAGTGCTTCTGCTAATTGCCTTGCGATTGGGGAATCAGGAGGATGTTTTTATTCAGGAAGGCATGTCTGACCAATGAAACAAAATGCAGTTGGTATCATTTTAGATTTGGCTCTTGAATCGTCAGAAATATGTGCCTTCACTAACTTTGAGGAGGAAGTATCCCTTCTCTTTGGGTATCTCTGGGAAGTTGCTTTATTGATTTTTCACCAGTTTGCAGACAAGCCCAAGTCTAAAAAAAATTCAGATGTAGCCTAATACTGCAAGCCTTTCTTTTATCTGTCTATCTATCCATCTGCCTGTCTGCCTGTCTGCCTGTCCATCCATCCATACGTCCATCCCTCCATCCATCCATCCATCCATCCATCCGTCTACCTACATGCCTGCCTACCTCAGCCTCCCGGATGTTTGAGGCTGCAGTGAGCTATGATCACACCACTGCAGTCCAAACTGAGTGATTCATGATTGCACCACTGGACTCCAGACCAAGTGACAGAACGAGACAGACCCATCTTTAAAAAAAAAAATGATTATGAGAGGTCTCAGTGCAGAAATGGCTTCCTCCTGCCCATTGTGCCAGCTTGCCCAGGCCCAGAGGTTGAGTCATGATATGAATGTGCTGTGTAGTGTCCAGCACCAGAAGTGTGGGTATAGTGGAGGAAAAAGATACAGAGCCAGAACCAGGACATGGAAACATTTTTAAGCTATATGTTTTTAAAAATCACCACCCCCATGCTAGAGAGAGGACTGAATTAGGTTTCTGTTTTCTCTCTAAAATTGATATAACAAAATTGTTGTCATGTGAAGAGAAAATCAAAGAGTATGCTGACAAAATATGTGGGAAAATCTAAAGCACAGGGACAAACGAAAAAAATAGATGACTTGGGACTATATCAAAATGGAAAGCTTTTTTTGTTGCAAATGGTACCATCCAGAAAATGACAAAAGCAACCCACAGAATGGGAGAAAATTTTTGCAAATCACATATTTGATAAAGAACCTGTACCCAGAATATATGAAAGACTCTTGCCACTCAATAATAAAAAGACAAGTCAATTATAAAAATGAGTAAAAGATTTGAATAGACATTTCTCCAAAGAAGATATACAGATGGCCAATAAACACATGAAAAGATAATTCAGCAGCATTAGCTATCAGGGAAACACAAGTCAAAACTACAATGAGATACCCCTCATTTATACTCGCATGGCTAGAATAAAAAAGATAAACAATATGAAGTGTTGATGAGGATGTGGAGAAATTGAATCCTTATACATTGCTGTTGAAAATGTGAAATGAGGCCGGTCGCAGTGGCTCACGCCTGTAATCCCAGCACTTTGGGAGGCCGAGGCAGGTGGATCACGAGGTCAGGAGATCGAGACCATCCTGGCTAACATGGTGAAACCCCGTCTCTACTAAAAATACAAAAAATTAGCCGGGTGTGGTGGCGGGCGCCTGTAGTCCCAGCTACTCGGGAGACTGAGGCAGAAGAATGGCTTGAACCCGGTAGGCAGAGCTTTAGTGAGCCGAGATCGCACCACTGCACTCCAGCCTGGGTGACAGAGCGAGACGACTCCTCAAAAAAAAAAAAAAAAAAAAAGAAAAGAAAATGTGAAACGATATAGCCCCTGTGGAAGAGAACTTGGCACTTTCTCAGAGAGTTAAACACAATGTTATCATATGACCCAACAATTCTACCCTTGTTATGAAAAAACATGTATCCACAAAACCTTGTACATGAATGTTTATAGCAACATTATTCATAATAGCCCCCAAATAGAAACAACCCAAATGTCTATCAACTGAAGAATGGATAAACAAAATGTGGCATGATCTATATAATGGAATATTACTTGGCAGTGAAAAGGAATGAAGTGTGGTTCATTCATTGAAATATTATGGTAAGTGAAAGAACCTAGACACAAAAGATGACATATTGTATGATTCCTTTGATATAAAGTGTCTAGAAGAGGCAAATCTGTAGATACAGTATGTAGATTCCTCATTCTCAGGGGCTGAATTGGGACGTTGCAGCTAATGCATATGGAATTTATTTTAGGAGATAATGAAAATGTTCTAAATTCGATGATGGTTGCACAACCCTGTAAATATACTAAAAAGCATAGAATTGTACAATATAAATGGATGAATTATATTTCAATAGAGCTGTTTTAAAAATATTGAAAACCAGAGATACCTGTCTGTGCTCTAAAATGTATCCACTGCCTTCTAGATACAGTCTAAACTCTGCAGCTTGGCTTTTAAAGCCTTTTATTTATATGGAATCCTCCCCACCCCCCACCATCTATACATTTGTAAACCTTACATGTTATTCAAATGCCATAATTCGTCAAACTGGATATGTTTTCTCCTTCCAGAAAGATATTCCTTCATCCCTCTTATAAGCCTTAGCACTGTCTGCCTTGCGTTATATTTATTTCTGTATCTGTCATATGATCTCTATCTGATCGAGAGCTCTTTAAGGCCGGGATGTCGGCTTGCTCATATTGGCATCCTTCAGGACACCTGACCCCTAAACTTATCTGATTGGTACGTGATACATTTTTATCACTGGATAGAATGAATGGGTTGTGAAATTATTAGATGTGATCCCAGATAGGATACTGTTTTTACTAATCTCTTTCACAAGGGTCTTTCAAGAACAATGCAGGATCAAACTTATAAAGAGATTTTTGAAACTCTCAAAACTCTGTGCAGGGTATTATTATTATCTGTAATCCTGGTAACTATTCAAATTAGTGTCAATTAACTTTTGGCTGCACTCTTAAGATTCTTTATCATCTACATTAGTTTGTCAGATGAGGTAATGCACTTTTTCTGGGTACAGTTGTCTTTGAAGAGATTGGCAGCGTTTCATAGTTGTAAACAAAACCGTCTCATATGCCGGACCGTGACAAAGAGGGACTAGGACGCCAGAAGCTCTGTGAAAACACTTAAATCCATTTCAGCGAGGAGGAATTGTGATCTGGTAAATAAATTAGTGTTCTGCTCTGTTCCTTGGCTCCTCTGCTAATGAATGGGCCCCAGAGATTTTTTTTTGTCTTGGGTGATAAGCCCCTAATATCTATTCAAGTTCAGCATAAAGCTCATTTTCTCTAGAAATCTTTGTTTAAAAACAGAATTTTTCCAGTAAATATATTTATCAAATTAAAAGTATTTCAGATACACAGAGAGTGATATAACAAACAAACCACCGCCTGTGTCTAACAAATGCTGGCTTTTTGTCATATCTGCTTTGGATGTTTTTTTAGTTGAAAAACATTTCGAAGATAGTTGAATCATTCCTTTCCTTCCCAAATCTCATTGCCCCTCCCTCCCTTTCCTCTGAAGCCACAATTATCTCTACCAGGAATCTCTCTCTCTCTTTTTTTTTTTTTTTTGAGACGGAGTCTCGCTCTGTCGCCCAGGCTGGAGTGCGGTGGCGCGATCTGGGCTCACTGCAAGCTCCGCCTCCCGGGTTCACGCAATTCTCCTGCCTCAGCCTCCCAAGTAGCTGGGACTACAGGTGCCCGCCACCACGCCCGGCTAATTTTTTGTATTTTTAGTGGAGACGGGGTTTTACCATGTTGGCCAGGTCTACCAGGAATCTTTAACTGGTTAATCTTTCAGTCCAACTTTGATATCAATTGTTAACTCTTGAGACCATTTTCTATTTCAAAACTGTCCATCTGACTCGTTTCTATTACTCTGAAATAATAGAATCTCAGAATTCTGTGATCTACCTTCAAGCCGATTAAATGGGAATTTTTCCCAGAGAGAGTTTAAACCGGCCTCTGGGTTAGGGGAGAAGTATAGACCCCAAAGACCCTTACAGAGAAATACTTGTCATCACGCTCCTGGAATTCTGGGAGAGGGAGAGGCATGAGAAGGCTGTGTGGCCTTGTCTTTGAAATACAGAAGTTTGGTGACGCCTGGAACATTTTTTACATGACAAATATGGTGAAATTTAACAGGCTATCAAAGTGCAGATCAGGCCAACTGAATAGCAGTTTTGGGGAAAATGACAAGGTGCTAGGTAGTGGAGAGAGGAAGATTAAATAACCTACTTGGGTCTATGTGCTCGTGAAGACACGCTCATATGTCTTCCTTGCATGGATACCTGCCTTGCTCTAAAATAAACTTGAAGTGTGTTTTTAAAAAAAGCATGTGTGCAGCCTGGGTAACATAGTGAGACCTTGCTTCTACAAAATACAAAATAAAAAGAGTAGCCGGGCATGGTAGCGTGCACCTGTAGTCCCAGCTACATGGGAGGCGGAGGCGGGAGGATCACCTGAGCTGAGGAGGTTGAGTTTGAGGCTGCAGTGAGCTGTGATTGCACCACTTCACCCTGGCCTGGGCAACAGAATAAGACCCTGTCTCAAAACAAGACAAAACAAAAACATGAATGGAACAAGAAAGAATCATGAGGTGAGGAAATGAAGGTTAAGGGAAGATGAGGATCAGAGGGAGTAACAGGTTCAGTTCTAAGATGAGGTCCGCATGTGGAATACATACCATTAGGCACGAAGCTCGGGCTGGAAGTACCCTACAGACTGCACCATGAGCTTCTCAACAGACAGTGGGTAAAGGAGTCAGTGACAGAATCTAGGGCTTTTAAGATAAAAGCAAACCAGTTGGCCAAGGAAGAATGGCTATTTCCAGCACAGATGCCTGAGGGCCATTTTTTCTGAGGATGTGGCTCTCACCCTTGATGGACAATCAGGACATTCTAGCAAATGTGCATTGTGCTCTAGAGGGGTGTGTGCAGGGAGCATAGCTGAGGGATGGAGGGGCTCATGTGCATCAGGATTGCCTGGAATACCAGGGATTATTAGTGCCAATAATGCTGTCAATGACGTTGTGATGGTTAATTTTCTGTGTCAACTTGACTGGGCCGCGGGATGCCCAGATATTTGGTCAAACGTTGTTCTTGGGTGTGTCTGTGAACAAATAGCCCTCACTGGTGCAGGTGAGTCTCATCCAATCGGTCGAAGGCCTGAGTAGAACTGGCCTTCCCGTGAGTCAGATGGAAGTCCTCTTGCCTGACTGCTCGATCTGGGACATGCTGCTTTGGGACTCCAGCTGAAACATCAGTTCTTCCTGGGTCTCAAGGCTGCCAGCCTTTGGGATGGAATGACGCCATCGGGTCTCCTGGTTCTCAGCCCTTTGGACTACCACTGGGACTGTGGTGATAGTCTCTCTTGGGTCGCCAGCTGGCCAACTGCAGATCTTGGGATCTGTCATTCTCCATCTTATGATAAATCAATAAATACCTCTCTCATTATATATATAATATATAATATGAAATAAATTAATAAATATCTCTCACTATATATAGTGATATATATATATTAGGTATATTTTATATATATGTATATCCTATTAGTCCTGTTTCTCCAGAGAACTCTGGCGAATACAGACATTCCATATGCAAAGAGAGGCCGCGTGGTCTTAGGTACTAGTTGTAAAATTATAATATATATTATATTATATATAATATTTAATATATATAATAAATCAATAAATATATATCTCACTATATATATCTCTTACTATATATATAAATCAATAAATATCTCTCTCTCACTATATGTATATATATCCTATTAGTCCTGTTTCTCCAGAGAACTCTGGCCAATACAAACACTCCATATGCAAAGAGAGGTCACGTGATCTTAGGTACTAGTTGTAACATTATAATATATATTATATATAATATTTATTTTATATAATAAATCAATAAATATATATCTCACTATATATAAATATCTCTCACTATATATACATATCAATCAATAAATATCTCTCTCTCACTATATGTATATATATATATCCTATTAGTTCTGTTTCTCCAGAGAACCCTGGCAAATACAAACATTCCATATGCCAAGAGAGATAGCGTGGTCTTAGGTACTAGTTGTACAATTATTTTACATTTGAAGAGGTAAACCTTTGGGTTCATAGGCTTTCTAACTGATGTCATGGAGTGGTGGGAGGGTTTTGTTTTCCCTTATCCATTAACTTTATTCTTAAAATAACAATATCACTAATAACATTTATGGCATACTTGTAAGCACTTCACATATATTCTCTCACTTAGCATCATGACAATATTCTAAGGGGACTGAGGCACTCAGAGCTTAGGAAACTCGTTCAAGGTCACCTAGCTAGGAAACGATGTGCTGTTTTCAAGGCCCTCATCTGAATAAAACTATCTTCCCTTTACTCTCAGCGGTGAAAATGGGGGAGAGATCTGTATTGGAAGCTCATTCAGATGTTGCCTTCTTTTGCACTCGAAGGCTTTGCTCTCTGAAGGCAGGAAGCAGCAGGCACGTGTGCAGGGAAGGCTGTGTATGTGGCATGTGCAGGCAGCAGCAGCAACGCGGGACGATGGGGAGAGAGCCCAGGGGAGGGAGGATGCCTGCAGAAGCGGCTGTGATGTGTGGGAAGCCCCGCTGGGCCGGCACTGTGGAAAGGTGACCTGCAGAGCCACAGCTGCAAATGAACCACTAATTTTCCCATCTCTGCTTGCAATTTACAAAGCACTTTCCTGGTGTCATGAGTAGCTCCCAAGTATCAGAGCAGGGATTGAAACTTAAGTTGTTTGACGCTACACTCTGATTTCCTCACCCCACCTCACTGTCTTGCCAGTTCCAACTGTACCCCTCAGGAATTTCTATCAGGAGTCTGTGTCAACATCAGCATGAAGCTGAAGAAGGAGAAAGGAAATGGGGCAACAAAGCACACAGATGTTCCTAAAAAGCAAAAGCGGAAGAGAGAAGCTAGACTCGCCTGTCTCTGGTTTTTCTCACCGCCTGATTGTTCCTTTCAGATGACCCGCATCTCTCGGAGCTGACCTCAGCTCAGCAAGGGTGCCTGTGACCCATGGAGCAGTGGCCACTATCTCTGCATTGTGGGAGGGTGGTCCGTGTTGGGTCTGCAGGGTCGTTGTCACAGCGATGAATGTGTAGATCTGTGCTTGCTGAAGCTCAGGCTGGTCGCTGTCTTGTCATCGTCTCCTGTTACACAGCTTTCAGGCTGCTTTTTTGGGGAAGTTAGACTCGCCTGCTCTTTTTTGGGGAAGTTCCACCTCACTGCAGCCGGGTATGGTGGTTTGCTCCTGTAGTCCTAGCTACTTGGGAGGCTGAGGCAGGAGGATTGCTTGAGCCAGGAGTTCGAGGCTGCAGTGAGCAGAGATCACACCACTGCACTCCAGCTTGGGTGACAGAGTGAGACCCTGTCTCTAAAATAAAATAAAATAAAAATAATAAATAAATAAATAAATCACCCCTTGGCCAGGCGCAGTGGCTCATGCCTGTAATCCCAGCACTTTGGGAGGCCAAGGTGGGTGGATCACCTGAGGTCAGGAGTTCGAGACCAGCCTGGGCAACATGGGGAAACCCTGTCTCTACCAAAAGTACAAAAATTAGCCTGGTGTGGCAGGCGCCTGTAATCTCAGCTACTCAGGAGGCTGAGGCAGGAGAACGGCTTGAACCCAGGAGACAGAGGTTGCAGTGAGCCGAGATCATGCCATTGCACTGCAGCCTGGGCGACAGAGCAAGACTCCATCTCAGAAAAAGAAACAAAAAAATCACCGTTTAACTCAGAATCAGCCACGCTGAATTGAGGTGAGGTTTTATGCATATCAGATTGAAGACCTCCTCCGGGGAGTGGTAGGCTGATGGCTTAGTCATCCTATAAAGAGCCCAGCATCTGACTGCACAGCTGGGTCTACCTACAGCATGGAGATGGCTATCTGGGAATAATGGGCACTAGAATTGGAGGATCCTGATGAACCACTTCCTGGCCCCTTGCTTGTGCCACCTCCCTTCCCGCCAGGTAAATATTGCTTAGACACCCAGCTTCTGATTAAAGCCACATGATGGAACTTGTCCTAAGGATGCAACTGATGGCCCGTGTCAGCTTGTTGGAGTTAAAAAATATATTTTAATTTGTTTAGCTCTCTGGGGAAATTATCTGAGCCTGCATGTGATAATCAACTTTCACATGAGCTTTCAAGAGACCTGAAATGATTTGAGCAACAAAATGAGATTTTTAATCTACATAAATACAGGAGTCGTTTGCCTCTCTTTTTGTGTGTATGCGAGAGGAGGGGAGCTTAAAACAATTCTAATTCATTCCTTTTCTTCTCCCCTAGGACACTCATTAGCAATGGTAGGAAAATGGTCACAGGAGTGGTACCTTGCCTCACATTCTCACACACATTTTCCCTTTGGACTTTAAACTTCACATCAACTCTTAAGGTGGGGGTGGGCGGTAGCAAGTGTTGCTTCCCCTTTTTATGGAAAAAAGTAGGTCTCAGAGAGGTTACGTGACATGCCCAAGTTCATGTGCTGGTGGGTTGCAGAGTCAGTTCTAGAGCCCAGTTCTTTTTGGAAACTGGATCAATGCTCTTTCTACCTCACCAGCTGTCTCATATTAATACTAGAGATACTAATGCAAAAACACTACCATAATAGTATCTGCAAGAGAACAAATTCAAGGGAAGATGGATGGATACTGGCCGGGCGCCGTGGCTCAGGACTGTAATCCCAGCACTTTGGGAGGCTGAGGCGGGCAGATCACGAGGTCAAGAGATCGAGACCATCCTGGCCAACCTGGTGAGACCCGTCTCTACTAAAAATACAAAAATTAGCCAGGCGTGGTGGTGCGCACCTGTAGTCCCAGCTACTCGGGAGGCTGAGGCAGGAGAATCGCTTGAACCTGGGAGGCAGAGGTTGCAGTGAGCCAAGATCATGACACTGCACTTCAGCCTCGGCGACAGAGTGAGACTCCATCTCAAAAAACAAACAAACAAACAAACAAACAAAAAGATGGATTGACACTGCACCTGCCTGCATCAGCCAGGCTAAGCTGGGTTAAGTTGTGGCTACACCAGATGTCTATGGCTTCACTGGTTTATGCAAAGTCCCCTGTGGGGCCAGGTCACTCTCCAGGGAAGATCTCATGACTTCCATGTCAGCAGGACTTAGGGTGCACTGAAGAGGGAAAGCAGACTGAAGAGCTTTGTCGAAAGGGTGTTTAAGTTTGGCAGCCCAAAAATGACAGAGAAGTTCATAGCCAGTCACAGCCTGTGGGCTGGCTCTAATTGTGCAGCCCTGCCCGATGCACGGGCGGTTGTGAAACTGTGTCTTCCGAGTGTGTAAGAAGGGGAGAAGACCCGGAAATACTGGTGACCACTAGCCATGAGCACCACATGGTCTGCAGGTCTGAGCGGTCAAAAGATCTGTTCTGTGGAGCAGGCTCCCCTTTAACCATGTCCCTGTCACAGATCCCGCGGCAAGCATTCACACCACCTGGAATTAATCGGGAAGAAAGTCGCAGTGTTTAGCAGATATTTCACAGATATAAACTGTGCGGTCTTCCTAAGTCTCTGCACATGATCAGCTGAAGATTGGGCTTCTTGTGGTGCACATACCATTTTCGTCATTAAATCCCCAATGACTCACCTTGTCCTGAAACTGTTAAAGCTCCTTAGCAAGACTGAGGCCCATCCTGATTTGGGCCCCGACACCCTCCCCAGTCTCTTCTTTCATGGCACCCCTCCTGTCATCTGGGTTTGTGAAGCTCCTTTCAGTCCTCTCAAAAGAGCGTTTCTCTCTTCCCCCTCTCGCTCTCCGCACCTGCTGTTCCCTCCGCTTTGAGGTATTTCCTCCTCACTCACGTCCCTCTTTGTCCAGGTCTCAGGAGGCCTGCTCTTGTATGTGAGTCCCTAGCTAGATGGCAAACCCCTTGGGGTCAGAGACAGGGACTCCTGGCAGCACTTGCCCTTAAAAACTTATATTCAGGCGGGGGGCGGTGACTCACACTTGTAATCCCAGCACTTTGGGAGGCCTAGGCAGGTGGATCGCCTGAGGTCAGGAGCTTGAGACCAGCCTGGCCAACATGGTGAAACCCCATCTCTACTAAAAATACAAAAAAAAATTAGCCAGGCGTGGTGGTGGGCGCCTGGAATCCCAGCTACTCGGGAGGCCGAGGCAGGAGAATCGCTTGAACCCCAGAGGGAGAGGTTGCAGTGAGTCGAGATCGTGCCACTGCACTCCAGCCTGGGCGACAGAGCGAGACTCTGTCTCGAAAAAAAGAAAAAGCAAACAAACAAACAGCCCTTACATTCAGCATAGGGCTTAGCTAATACATGGAAGCAACTGACTACTATGTGTTCAATAAGCAAATGAATGGTCGTGTGAATGGATAAATGAGGTCTGTGAAGTTGAATGCTTGTCTGGGTGAGGGGACGTCTCCTGGCTCACCCTCACCTCTGTTGGCTGTGCTGCAAGCTGTAGTCAGGATGGTCATTTTCCAGCTTTGACCATGATTGCTCTTGCTTTTGGTGTCAGCGCCTACCTGTATGGTGCCCTCCATTCGTCAGTTGCCTTATATCCCAGCACGCTTCCTCAAGAGCTGAAGAAACGTCTTACATTTTCATATGAAATCATTTTCAAGCAAGGTATAGATTCACATAATACATAATTAATGGTAAAATGCTATTAGCATTATGTACTTAAATTATTTGGCTTTAAGGCCAGGCGCGGTGGCTCACGCCTGTAATCCCAGCACTTTGGGAGGCCGAGGCGGGTGGATCACCTGAGGTCGGGAGTTGGAGACCGGCCTGACCAACATGGAGAAACCCCGTCTCTACTAAAAATACAAAATTAGCTGGGTGTGGTGGCGGGCGCCTGTAATCCCAGCTACTCGGGAGGCTGAGGCAGGAGAATTGCTTGAACCCAGGAGGTGGAGGTTGCGGTGAGCCGAGATTGTGCCACTGCACTCCAGCCTGGGCAACGAGAGCAAAACTCCATCTCAAAAAAATAATAAAAATAAAAATAAATTATTTGGCTATAATCCCCATTGGAGTTACTGTTTAATGGGTAGAGAGTTTCAGTCTGAGTTGATGAAAACGCTCTGGAGATGGATGGTGGCAACAGTTGCACAAAAATGTGAATGTACCTAATGCCACTGAGACCCACACTTCAAAATGGTTCAAGGTACATTGCTTGAGCCTAGGAGTTTGAGACCAGGCTGGGCGACAGAGTGAGACCTTGTCTGTAAAAGAAAAAAAAAGGCCGGGTGCAGTGGCTCATGCCTGTAATCCCAGCACTTTGGGAGGCCTAGGCAGGTGGATCACCTGAGGTCAGGAGTTCAAGACCAGCCTGGCCAATGTGGTGAAACCCCGTCTCTACTAAAAATACACAAATTAGCTGGACATGGTGGCGGGCACCTGTAATCCCAGCTACTTGGGAGGCTAAGGCAGGAGACTCTCCTGAACTCAGGAGGCGGAGGTTGCAGTGAGCCAAGATTGCACCACTGCACTCCAGCCTGGGTGACAGAGTGCAAAAAAAAAAAAAAAAGAAAAAGAAAAATATCAGTCGGGTGTGGTGGTGCACGTCGTGGTCCCAGATACTCAAGAGGCTGCTGACGTGGGAGGATTACTTGAGCCCCGTAGATGGAGGCTGCAGTAAGCCGTGATGGTGCCACTGCACTGCAGCCTGGGCAACAGATGAGAGAGTAAAAAATGGTTCAAATGGCAAATTTTATGGATACTTCGCCACAATAAAAATAAATTTCTATTAAAGTACATATCATTAATTCCACAAATGCAAATAGAATACCAATCAAAGGAAGTCCTCAGAACACAGACTGCACAGTAAAGTGTGGGCCTAACTAGACCACAGCCTGTTTCATGTCACCAGGCTTAGTGGATGACCGCACTGCAAGGAAAATTGCTGAGACTGAGTCATGTTTTGGTTCTCTGGCTGCTTCTATTTTTTTTTTTTTTAGATGGAGTTTCATTCTTGTTGCCCAGGATAGAGTGCAGTGGTGTGAACCTCCGCCTCCCAGGTTCAAGCGATTCTCCTGCCTCAGCCTCCCAAGTAGATGGGATTACAGGCACCCGCCACCATGCCTGGCTAATTTTTTTGTATTTTTAGTAGAGATGGGGCCTCACCATGTTGGCCAGGTTGGTCTTGAACTCCTGACCCCAGGTGATCCGCCTGCCTCGGTCTCCCAAAGTTCTGGGATTACAGGCATGAGCCACCGCGTCCGGCCCCTGGGTGCTTCTTATTTTGGAAAATTCTTCCCCAAATGAGACTAATTTTGGCTCAGTAGAAAAATTCTCTCACCTCTTGTCCCGAAGGTGAAAATCCACCTCAATGATTTTCAATTTTTTTTTAATCATCATCGGCCTCTTTTATTTTTTTTCTGATAGAATGTGCTTTAAGAGATAGTTGTAGCCTGTTTCCTATTCCTGCATTTATAAAGTAACAATTCATTTATCCTTGCCAGCTGTCTGCAAGCTTAAAATACCTAGACACATCTCACCACCCAGTAGTGTCCTTGACTGGCTTGGATGGCCAGTTTCCCTATACTGATTTGGTACAATTGCTACATTTTATAGAATACTTAAATATGAATACAAGTGTGATTTCTGTGGGGCTTTTGACAAACCAGAACTAGTTCAAGGACCCTCACAATCACCTTCAAGGGACAAAAACCTGCATTTTGTGTGTTTCCTGGTGCGTTTCCTTTAAGAGTCCTGGCGCCTGGGCTGTCCAGCCCGGGTGGAGGGACTCCCGAGACCTGGTGATGGATGCTGTAGTCAGGAGTGCATATTGGATCTGTTACACGGTGGTGATATACGATTTCAACATTTCAGGGTTGATTTGGATTTTCTGTACTCCCTGCCTGGAATTTTCCTGCTGTGTTGTTTTGTGCTTTACTGTTCAACAAGAGGAAAATAAATCTAGAAACCTGCTTAAAAATAGACATCCTGTTTTCAATTCTCTATCATTAAAAGATCTTAAAAGCTAGAATTTAGTTCTCTTCCCGGTAGAAGGAAGGAGTTGCGCTAAGGTCCCTTCTTAGAAATTAGCTCTAGAAATCCTAAAATTCTAGCTAACCAACCACAGTGTTCACGGGCCTAATATCCCTTACATTTTTCTTGTCTGACAGGCCCAGAGGGCTCACTGTCTGTGAGCTTTCACGGGGTTGTTGCTATCCCCCAGGGTTGATTGATCTGTTTATTCTAAGCTTGAGGCCAGAGCTGGAAGGGAGGCCGTTTGTTTTGGGCACTGCTGAGAAAAACAGACTAATCACCTAAATACCACCTTGGGGAATGAAGTTACTTGAAAAGAAACTGAATGGAGCCTGGGCTTTTATTTGGAATGAGGAGGCAAACCTGGGAAGCTGCATGCCGCTGAATGATGATGAAAAGCACAAAGCTACTGAATGCCTCTGGCTTGGCCGCCAAAGAGAATTGGTTTCTGTAAGTGTCGGAGAGGGAAGACCCGCATTCCAGAGCTGCACCCCTTTCTTCACATTTCCGGTCCCTCTCCCCCAGCTCCTGCACACCCTGATGCTGGACCAAGGGGCCTGGGCAGAGGTGGGTGTGCTGGGCGGGAAAGTACGTCATGGATGCCTCAACTTGCCATGGATGGCAGGTTGACTTCCTTCCCAGCAACTTGCAGATGTTCAGATGCGCAGAGTTAAGGTCTAAAACAAGAAAAGTTTGCTAACGTAGAGTGGCCGCTGGGTCTTATCTTTCCGTCTTCAATGGCCTTGAAAAATATGGGGCACGCATGGGGATTTCACACTCTTAACAAGCTAATGTCTCTAACACTACAGGTTACACTTCACCTGATTTCCAGGTTAGTGCAGCGCCTGACCTCTCTCCAGAGGCACCCTCGTTTAGAAGCATAGATGATGCAAAAACATGGTTTCTCTTCTCAGTTCAGATTGCCTCTGTTGCAAGGACTGAGAACTCTGAGGAGATCTAGGAGATCCCTAAGTATATTAGGTTTTAATTCTGGGTCAAATCAGCAAATGTTTATTAAGTACACACAACAGACAGGGCACTGTAAGACAAAACAAATCAATCAGTCAACGTCAACTCTTGTCATTGCTTGGGGGGTAAAGGCAATACAAGGAATGACTGGCAAATACAGGTGTGAATTCCACTTACCCTCAGCAAGACGAGGGAAGAAGAAGATTCTGGAAAGGGAGAATTCTGCCAGCACCAACCTGATCATCCTTCTGGGCATGGCCAAATGCCTCCATTTTTCCTCTGAGGGGCTTCTTTGCCCTGAGGAATATACAAGTTGATAGGGCTACTTGCCTTCTTGCTCATTAATATCTGCTTGGCTCCGGATCTGCAGGTAGAGCAGTGCTGGAATTATCCCAGAGCTGTGTTGTGACCTCTGGATGCTAGCCTTTCCAAGCAGGGACTTTGCTGCGACTCCCTAAGTTCATAGGGAAAGCAGCAAGGATGAGTTCGGGAGACTCTGGCATATGCATCAGAGTTCCAGAGTGAAAGGTGGCTCTGAAAACTTTGCAAACTGTACATAACTCAATTCCCCAGGCTGCTGTGTGTCCGTCATCCCTGAAATTTCATGAGGCCAGAGTAGGTCAACAGGGGCTAATGAGACAAGATCTAACTAAACAGAGTAAAGAGTTTCTCGGTCACAAGGGAAACTTTTACTATTTGAAATCAGCCTGAGCCAAGATTGATGAGGAAAAAAAAACAAAAACCAAAATCTACTGCATTTTACTCCTATTTAGGAAGAAGTAAACTTTTGTAAACAGGAAGAACACAGGGATATTTGCTCTTAGCTAGAATGGGGCAAATTGGCAACAGTTTTGGGTGCCTACGGCTTTGGGTTTGATGGAGTCAACCTGCCACTAAGGAAATAGACCCAAGGAGGTTAAACTCAGTAGAGAGCTATGGGTATTCCTTTCCTTTAAGTTACAGCTCCCAGGAAAGCAAAACACAAGCTGAACAAACATTATACAAGCCATGTATATGTGTAGCATGTGTCCAGATCCAATTCACTTATTTGCTCACGCTTCTAGGAACTCCATCCTTGTGCTTTTATCTCCTGGGCTCTCTGACTTTGAGACTTTTCACAGCTGTCATCATTTAGCATAAATAACAGCCTGCGGAAGAGTGGGTGACAATGTGGCATTTTGCTGGGCCACTTCTTGCTCAGCATTTGTCGTGGAGTCTTCTGCCATTGGCCATGTGCCAGGCCTGACAAACAGCCATCAACACAACTTGTCACCAAGTGATTTTGAAAACTTATTGTTGAGGTGACTTCATTCTTACATCTTTCGTGCTTGGCAAAGTAATTACTACGCCAAGTTTTTTTTTTTTTTAATCAAAATAAAACACTGATTAAATGTTTTCCTGTATCTGGATTACAAACTATTCCGTGATCTCCAAACTTTGTCCTCTCGTGTGTGTGTGCATCTCACACAATCTCTGTCCTTCTTGGAAAAATGTCTCCATTAATTACTGGGGATGAAAGTTGATTAAAATTGTAGGTCATTTCCCAGGGAGGTTTTATGTGAATAACTTTAGTACTGTGATGCACTACTTATGAAATCTCTGGTCTCTTTCTAAAATCAGGTTGGAGAAGAAGAGACTGTGCATGACAGTGCAGCCATGTGGCTTGGAGACTATGTGAGTGGAAGCATTTTGAGGATACGATTTCTGAGTCCATGCTATTTCTCTGTTGTAGCTTAGCTGTGGATTCCTTACGTGCGAATGATTTGGGAGTATAAGAACACAGACTCAGTGTCATCATTTTGTCTACCATTACCCTTTCCTTTAGAAAATCTGTTTGTGTCATTCATTTAGAATGTTGCCGTTAACAAAGTATTTTATGTATACTATTTTATTTGGACATTATGATGGTCCACGCTGTGAGGTCAGCCAGCTATTGTTCATATTTGTTCCAGATGAGAGACTGGAGGTTCAGAGCAGCAATGTGCCCTGCACACCTCCACACAGTTCACACAGTGCTCAGAACAGCAATGTGCCGTGCACACCACACACCCTGTTCAGTGCAGAGGCAGCAGGCAGGACCCCAGGACTTCTGAGTCCTGATCCAAAGCTACTTCCTCAAAATCCCTTTACTACTTTATTATTATTATTTTTTAAATAGACTTTTTAAAAAGCAGTTTTCAGCTTATAGAAAAAAAGTGAATGAAAAGTACAGAATTCCCATGTGCCGCCTCTCGTTCTCCTCAGTTTCCCCTGTTATTAGCATCTTGCCTTAGTGTGCTACGTTTGTTTCAACTGATGACCCAATATTGATACGTTATTGTTAACTAAAGTTTATAGTTTATGTTAGGGTTCACTCTTTGTCTTGTACATTGTATGAGTTTTGACAAATGAATAAAGACCCAGTGATCATGATCAAGTGTGATTTCCCCAAAGTGAGATGTGTTGTCCTTCACAGAGCACACTTAGTGCAGTGGCGGTCAATCTAACTGGTTTTTTTTGTTGTTGTTTTTGTTTTGTTTTATTTATTTATTTATTTTGGTGGCTTAGTCTCCTCTGTCACCCAGGCTGGAGTGCAATGGTGTGATCTTGGCTCACTGCAACCTCCGCCTCCCAAGTTCAAGCAATTCTCCTGCCTCAGCCTTCTGAGTAGCTGGGATTACAGACACACGCCACCATGCCCGGCTAATATTTGTATTTTTAGTAGAGATGGGGTTTCATTGTATCGGTCAGGCTGGTCTTGAACTCTTGATTTCAGGTGATCTCCCCGCGTCGTCCTCCCAAAGTGCTGGGATTACAGGCGTAAGCCACCGTACCTGGCCTGTGTTTTTCAAATGTAAACAAAAGGCCATCAAGCAGTGACAGTTCATCTCCTGACTTCATTTTTATTGTCACAAAAGTGTTCTGGTTAGAAAGAAAAAAAATCACATATCCACCATTACAGTATCACACAGAGTCGTTTCACTACCCTAAAGCCCCCTGTTCTCTCTCTATTCATCCTTCCCACCATCCACCCTCATCCCTGGCAGCCAGTGGTCTTTTTCTGTCTGCACAGTTGTGCCTTTTCTAGAATGTCAGATAGTTGTAACCATGTACTGTGCCTTTACCACCATGTTGAGCCTTGATGTGTTTCCTTCGTTGGTTTTATCAATAACAACGAACATTCACTGGTTTCTTTCCATCGAAGTTACATTTTTTCATGAAGGTAAACTCTTAAACAAGTGTCTCTTTTTGTCACCCTCTCCTAGGCCTATTCTTGCTATTGGTTAGAATGTGGCCAATAGATTCACCTCATGGTAGCAATGTCCTTGCTGAATATAACAAATCTGATGGTTGTCATCTACCAAGAATTTTGTTTCTCTGAGGAAAATCAGCAAAACTCTCATTTCAGTTCTAGTGTAGCCTAGCCATGCTAGGCTGTTTTGTAAATGATGACTATTAGGAGATATTTGTATCCATTGAGATGGAGAACACCGAAGCTTCGAAGGAGGAAACAGCTTGCCCAAGTAAAGACCATTAGGAGAACACAAAATAACCACCAAGGCTTCCTTATTCCCATTTGAGATGCTGCTGATTGAGCCGCAATTGGCCAGTGCTCTAAAACCGAGGCCTGGAAAGGACAGGCCATGCCAGTTCGCTCAGCCATTCAACCCAGCAGCCCTGACTATTGTAGCCAAGGTGATGGACTTGATTCCCATAGAAAGCAGCATCACCTTGGAGCTCACCTTTAACTCCTGGAGGCTGGCAGGGCCCCTGTGGCCACAACTAGACTGTGAGAGGAACCAAGAAAGTACGTTGAGATCTTGGAACCAACCCAAATGCCCATCAATGATAGACTGGATAAAGAAAATGTGGCACATATACACCATGGAATACTATGCAGCCATAGAAAAGAATGAGTTCATGTTCTTTGCAGGGACATGGATGAAGCTGGAAACCATCATTCTCAACAAACTAACACAGGAACAAAAAAACCAAACACCGCATGTTCTCGCTCATAAGTAGGAGTTGAACAATGAGAACACATGGACACAGGGAGGAGAACATCACACACCGGGGCCTGTGGGGGATGGGGGATAAGGGGAGGGAGAGCATTAGGACAAATACCTAATGCATGCGGGGCTTAAAACCTAGATGACGGGTTGATAGGTGCAGCAAACCACCATGGCACATGTATACCTATGTAACAAACCTGCATGTTCTGCACATGTATCTGAGAACTTACAGTATAATAAATAAATAAATAAAAATCACACACAAAAAGGAAAGTACATTTAGATCTCATCTCCCTCTCACCCCAAATCCAAGAACAGAACAACTCAGACACATGTCCTACAGATCAGCACACAATTTTTTTGTGATTGAAGAAACGAATACTAACATTGGTTGATGGAAGAGACAGTACTCTAAAGTCAGCATGATAATGGACAGAAGAACAAATGATGCATCTAGTAACTGATGTTTAACAACTGATTACCTGTTTGTATGGCATATTTAAACATTATTGTGTTTTCTGCTGTTTGGGTAGTGGTTGTTTATAATTATTAAAGATGCCCCGAGTGACAAAGAGACGAAGGATCATGAACATCTTAAAACACTTCTTGCTTTTTAACAAGGGCAGAGCAAAGTTGTTAAAAAGGTAACCGAGGGTCAGATAACCAATGATTCATTGATGATGAATGCTCATTCTTCTAGTGCCAATGTGGTAAAATGTGGATGTTTTTAACCTTGTAAGTTAGGTGGCAGCATAGTCTAGTAGAAAACACCTCTAGCTCATGGATGAACGTTTCTCCAATTTGCTCCCAAGTCTCTTATTGATACTATATTTGGGTGACCCTGGGCAAGTCCTATTGATAGTTGGCTTTGACTTAGGACAAATGAGGTTACACAGACTGAGAGTTTTGTGTTGGACTTCAAGTACGCTTCTAGACTAAAAGCATTATGCCATTAATATTTATGTTATATAGCTTGTATATAAGTATCTCTATTCCTATTATCTTATTAATGTTCACATGTATGGATGTGTATACACGCATGGATTTGTGTAGATATGTGTGGTTGTGACGTATGTATTTTGTGTCTTACAGTTTTGCAAAGCTCTTTTGCAGACATTACCTCATTTGATCTTTCAACAGTCTCTCAGAAGGGGGATGTCCTTGCTTTCATTTTATAAATGTGGTTGAGAGAGGTTATGGTTCCTGAAACTTGATACAATTACCAAGTTTCTGAAATATAGGAAAAATAACTTCATTGTAGACAAAGGTCACAATTTCAAGAGGCTTTGTAACGAAATTATGAACAAGTTTGGAAAAACTGCAAGAAATTCATTGAACAAAATTAAGAAGATCAGCCTTTTGAGAAAGGTCTCTCTTGATGGCAAGACCGAGCAGCATCTTTCACTGAGCCACAGATTTGTATGGCGGATTGGATTTCTGGGGAAGGTTCTCCTCAGAACAGTGCCCTTCAGTCCACCGGAAAGTGCCACTCCAATTTTTAGTTAAGAAAGGCTCTGAAAAGACCCACTCTCAAAGGTACCACCTGTTCATGTAGTCATTAATTTGTTAACTAATTAATCGACCCATCTATTTATTCGCTTATTCACTCAAAAGCATTTACCAAGCTCCTACTGTGTGTCCTCAAGGACATCCAGCTGTACGGGAATAAACAGGGGAAGCATATGGTGGACTTGAAGGTGGAGTTGGTGTGGACCCTGCCGTGGGTGGATGGAGGTGGAGGTGGGGTGGTCCTGCCATGGGTGGATGGAGGTGGAGGTGGGGTAGACCCTTATGTGGGTGGTGGGAGGTGGAGGTGGGGTGGGCCCTGCCATGGGTGGTGAGAGGTAGAGTTGGTGTGGACTCTGCCAGGGGTGGTTGGAGGTGGAGGTGGGGTGGACCCTGATGTGGGTGGTTGGAGGTGGAGGTGGGGTGGGCCCTGCCATGGGTGGTGAGAGGTAGAGTTGGTGTGGACTCTGCCAGGGGTGGTTGGAGGTGGAGGTGGGGTGGACCCTGATGTGGGTGATTGGAGGTGGAGGTGGGGTGGGCTCTGCCATGCATGGTTGGAGGTGGAGTTGATGTGGGTTCTGCACAGCTTAGGCTGAGCAGGAAGTGTATTTTCAGACCTGGAATAGACTCCCTATGGTGGACAGAGTTGCTGGAAAAAATATCAGAATATATTGTTTAGGACATCTCATCTTCAAGACATAGATTCCCCTTCTTATGGAATTTTGAGATGTCCTAGCTGGAGGAAGAAGAATTCTTTCCATGGAAACAATAAACAGTCAAAATGTTTACTATGAAATTCATGGAAATGCTCTGCCAGAGGCTCGGGAATCTCTGCAGAGAACATTTTCTGTACTGCAGGATGACAGAGGCTGTCGAGAATAAAATGAAGCTGAGTGCTTGTGGTTGGGATTCCTTCTTTTTCCTCTTTTATTGTTTCTCCTTAGCTTTGTGCCCAGGTCATTTGTCTATCTTCCTTCCCTTGAAATCCCTCCTGCTTTGGGGCCCTGCACTGCCTCTGGAGCATCCAGTTCTGAGATTCCAATCACAGGGCCAGGCATGAAACACGGCCATCCCTCAGGCACACGGCTGCTGGGATATGGCAAGCTTGTTAACACGGCAGGACAACCCAAGATGCCATGTTCCTAAAGAAAATGGGGGCCGGGCACGGTGGCTCATGCCTGTAATCCCAGCACTCTGGGAGGTCGAGGTGGGCGGATTACCTGAGGTCAGGAGTTCGAGACCAGCCTGGCCAACATGGTGAAATCCCGTCTCTACTTAAAATACAAAAATTAGCCAGGTGTGGTGGCATGCACCTGTAATCCCACCTACTCAGGAGGCTGAGGCAGGAGAATCGCTTGAACCCAGGAGGCGGAGCTTGCAGTGAGTCAAGATCACGCCACTGCACTCCAGCCTGGACGACAAAGCCAGACCTTGTCTCAAAAAAAAAAAAAAAAAGAAAAAAAGAAAAAAGAAAGAAAATGATATTCATTGCCCACCTCCTTACACACATACCCAGAGTGGAGTTAATCCTTTCCATATCTGTGTACCCATGCTTCTTTATATATATTAAGTTGAACCATATGAAATTGCCAGGATTCACGATCTTGACCTGCAAAAATAGGCAGTTTCATGTAGTTGCACCTGCTATGTGTGGCATTTGTTCTCACTTTCACCGTGAGCGTCATTTGTTGACTTTAGCTTAAAACCAACCTTATTCCACTGCATGCCACCTTGTCCTCAGAGAATTCATAAAGACAGGCTTAAGAATCCATTTCAGCTGGGCGCGGTGGCTCACGCCAGTAATCCCAGCACTTTGGAAAGCCGAGGCAGGCAGATCACCTGAGGTCTGAGTTCGAGACCAGCCTGACCAACATGGTGAAACCCCGTCTCTACTACAAGTACAAAATTAGCGGGCGTGGTGGTGCATGCCTGTAATCCCAGCTACTCAGGAGGCTGAGGCAGGAGAATCGCTTGAACCCAGGAGGCAGAGGTTGCGGTGAGCCAAGATCGCATCGTTGCACTCCAGCCTGGGCAACAAGAGTGAGACTCCATTTAAAAAAAAAAGGAAAAAAAAAGAATCCATTTCATCCAGCCTTCTGATTCTAGGAATAGGAACGTCAATTCAATCCAATGAATCCTGGGACAGCATTTGGTGTGCCAGGTAGAGCGTGTGTGGCGGAGGGGGGGTGGTATTGTTTGTGACGTAGGTTTTCTGATTGGAACTACTGTTGCAGGCTTGACCATCACCTCCCACTACTGCGTGTGAGGCTAAATGCTGCTCCCTCGCTTATTGCTAAATGGAGAGAATACGAGGGAGACAATGGGGAACGTGAAAGCAACAACATTGTCAACTGGATTTGATGCAGGGCAGTGGGCAGGGACTCAGAACTCCACTCCCCCTACTCAGACGGGCAATCATGTCACAGTCAAGATGAGAAATACCCATCGAGATTTGAGTGCATGTGACTCTTCTAAAAGTAAGGCGTGTTCTTCACAGCGCACACTGAGCACCGTTGCAGTCAATCTAACTGATGTTTTTCAAATGTAAACCAAAGGCCTCAAGCAGCCACAGTTTATCTCCTGACTTCCTTTTTATTGTCACAAGGTGTTCTGTTTAGAAAGAAAACAAGCCGTTAGAATATTCCAACAGAAACAGCATTAACATGATTTACTAGGTGGGTTATTTAGGGTTACTCAGCCAAGAAATGGCATTTCTGGACAGTGGTAGATTTGTTCAGCCTCTCACAAATTGAGGGAAGTGGCTTTATTTCTTCCCACCCAGCTAGTTCCCCTGTCCTCAGCCCAGAGATTCAAATGCCAACGGCTGCCAAGTTTACCCCAGGACCGCCAGGCAAAGGTTCCGGACCACTGTTTGTTTTCCATTTCTGTGGCCTCATCATGCTCAGAAATGCTGACTTCTACGAAGAGCCCAGAAAAGTTCAGATGTGTGCCAAGGCTTTGGTTGTAGGCTTGGCACAAGGAGCAGCAGCTGGTAAGGACCAGGAGACAGCCCGGCCTCCTCCATGGTGCCTGCCTCTCATAGAAGCAGTCAGGAGGACAAGCTTTTGGTTTCCGCAGACTTAGCAGTCATTCCTGTGTTCCTAAGAATCATACTCGGGATTTTAAAAATTCATGTATTTAGTTATAACTGTGAAATATCATAGAACCGGGAGGTGATGTCCAAGTCATCTGGCCAGTCCAGTTTCTCCTTTTGCACATCAAGGATCAGGCCCCAAGAGGCCAAGGGATTAGTGGGAACCCTTCTTCTTGCCTTCACATCCATCTCTCAGTCTTTGTTTCCTATCGCTTACAGTTGTTTTTCACTTCTCTCTTCTTTTCCTACTCCTTACCATCTGAAGAACTGAAAAAATTATTCCAGGTTCAGCAATGTTGGAACCAAGTTTTGTAAACGGACCTAAGCCTTTTACAATCTGGGGGACCTTCTTTAGGAAATGGAACACAGATGACCATGTATACATGTTGCTGGCGCCCCTCCTATGGCTTTGGAAGGCACCCAGGCAGGTGAGGAGCCCTGAATCTCGAGCTTCCTTTAGCTTTACAGTGATTCAGTCTCTGGTTAGGACCATTACGATTTCTTTCTTTATTTCCCCCTTACTTATGCCCTATATGAAATGAAACAGATGTGAGTGTTTGAATCAAAAAGACTTCCCTGATGTAGTGGTCTCATTTTAGATGCTCAGAGCATAGAATAAGTGGCAGCAGACCTTACTTGTTCCATCTGGTTTTTGCATAGACTGCTCGAGTTGTTTTTCCTTTCTCATTTGTTTTCCTCCCTTGCATTTTGGTCTGTCTGCTCCCCAAACTTTTAGCTATGAAACATCTCTAGAATTCGACATCTGTCAGAGGAGGCAGCGGAAGTTCTTTCTCTGGGATCCATGAGTCCTGACTCCCCTGATACTGTGTGCTGAGAGAGGGTTTTGTTTTCATAATTATGACAATTCCCATGTATTGAATGCTTCCTACATGCCAGATATTTCCAGAGCTCTGTGTCCCTGGAAGAGTCAAGAACCACTGTTTATAGCATTGAGAAGGAAAGAGTCTAGCCTCTGACATCTTTTCTTCTAAAATGACTGCAACACATGGACATATTTTTAGCTATTTTTTCCATGAAATGTATTTTCTAATGACTTAAGACATTAGATCAATGGGAAAAGAGAGCGTTTATGTTTTTATGAAGGTAATATTTTCAGTGGCAAAATGAGCTTTATCAGACCTCAGGAACTTGTGACTTCCAGAAAACAAGAATGGTTCTGACCTGGGATCGTGAGAATGTCTTTATCCTAGACATGCCAATCCACACTTAGCCAGTGTGAAGGGAAGAGTCTGCACTTAGCCAGCATGAAGGGAAGAGTGGCAGAGAGGGGACTATCTGAGTCCTGTCACGGCCTGTCAGGAGAGTGACAGGTGAGGGTGGGCAGGAGGTCTCCGAATGAACTGCTTTGCTGGTAGGCTGTGTTTCTGTGTTTAGCTGAGGAGAGGGCGGGAGAGAGACCCAGGCTGGGAGGTGGGGGTGCCTGAGCCTCCTGTGCCATTTGGAGCATGTCATTATGGGGGAGTCACTTATTTTGCAGGGGGGAGGGGGGTCCCAGGCCTAACATTTGTAAAATTAGGGAATATGCTGGGACTAAGGGTTCGTTGTGGCCTGCAGTCTGTTTCTATTTATTTATTCATACTCATAAACATAGATCTCTAATATAGGCCAAGATTTTGAAAGAATTAGTAGTTGCAATTTCACCTTGTAAGACTTTCTCTTTTAGGTACCTTATATTAGTTTTACTTGTTAGTTACCCAGATATGTCAAGCATAGAGCTAAACTGAATGCCTGTGTATTTGCTGTAAGCATTGCCTGCCTTAATTCATGCTGTGATGTGGTGTGGTTTGCGGAATTCCTAGAGTGGCCAGTGCACCATGACCACCAACTGACACTAGGCTCCTTCTAGCAAAGACCAGGGAATGTGGTGATGCCTTTAGTTGGTTTATAAAGGACTAGCACCCATGAGCAGGAAAGGGCACGACACTCATTTTGGCACTGTGACCGCCCTCCTGGTCACAACGCCTGGTCTCCACACTGGCAGGGCTGTTCTTTTACAAGGAGGGACACAGGGTTTGAGACAGGTCCAGTTGTCGCTCATCGAGAACTCGTGAAGACAGACAGGGGAGCAGTGACCCTGGAAATCAGCTGGGAGAGTCCATTCATCCACGTAGTGAGACCGTGTCTCTGTTGCGGTTCTTATGTCCACCCACATTCTGTGATTCATTGTGTGTTCTTATTAGTATATTATAATCTATTAGAGGGTATTTTTCTCTAATTTTCTGTCATTTTGTAGTTCTGTGCAAAAGGCATGAAATTGTGGATTAAAATGAGGGCATCTGGATATTGCTAGAAAACACCAGCTGAATTCACAGGCTCGCAAAGAGGTCGTATGTTTGGAAAGCTTTAGCCATTGCTGTGGTTTTCTATTTTCTGGAGGTGGGGACAGGATAGGAGGTGGACCCTAGTCCCTAGAGACTATTTCCAAAGTGTGTTTCCCAGTTGGGATCAATTATTGTTTGTTGACTTGGTCTCAGGATTGGGCTGCGTTCTAACTCGAGAATTGCCAGGCCTCAGGGAAGTGTCTGCTTTTCAGGGAAGTCCGCCCATCATCTGCCACTAACACAAGTCAGAGGGCCACGGCCATCACCAGTGCTGCAAGTGGGAAGGGCAGAGTGGACTTACATAAACACCGTGGCATTCCTGCCTGCAGCTCCGGAGCTCCACCCTCATCGCCACTATCTCTCCTTGGACTTGAACCACAGGCAGATGAGGCCCCAGGAATTAGTTGCACCTGAGAGTCTGGAAGTATAGCCCAACCCTCCATGTGTGGAAGGACAGGGTCCAGACCCCTCCCGTCCTGCTTCTGCAGTGGCTGAATGGCTGGAGGCCGCCATGACACCCCTCATACACATTCACTCACTCACCATTCACTCCCACTCTCCTGCCCCTGCCCCTTTCCAGGCTCCCAACTCTCTCTCTCATGTGTACCTTGAAGGTTTGCTAGATGATATCATAGTAGACGCTAACGAAATCGTTGTTAAATAAACAATAGAGTGACATGTATACAATCAATAAGACCAAAAAAGGTGTTTAAAAAAATCTTTTATTTTTATTTTTTAAGAGACAGGCCTCACTCCGTTGTACAGGCTGGAGTGCAGTGGCACAATCACTGTTCACTGCAGCCTTGAACTCCTAGGCTCAAATTATCCTCCTCCCTTAGCCTCCCAAGTAGCTGTGACTACAGCTACCGTGTCTGGCTAATTGTGAAATTTTTTGGTAAAGACAGGGTCTTGCTATGTTGCCCAGGCTGATCTTGAACCTCTGGGCTCAACCGATCTGAAGTGCAAAGATTACAGGAGTGAGCCACTGTGCCTGGCCCCCAAAAAGGATTTTAATGTTAGGAGCTGAGTTATCTGAGCAGACACAGTCCACTGTCTGGTCCCAAGGCTCCATGTAGAATTGTCTGCTTTTAGCACACAGGCCCACCTGGGCTGGCCTGAGGAGGAAATTCAGGAGTGGGAGATGCCATCTTTTCCTAGCCAGGAGGGGCTGCAGAGCGTGTGGGCTGAGACTCTTGGGGAGGGGGTGTGAGGGGCAGTCACATGGCCTCATGTGAAATTCTCCATAAAGAATCCCAGGCAGAAGGCCATGGACAGGCAGGCTGGTGCACCGCATGTGTGAAGATGAGCAGCAGGGACAACGGGTGGGTGGGGGGAGGGAGTGGGGGAGGGAGCGGGAGGACTAGAGGGAGTGGGAGGACTAGGGAAAGTGGAAGAGGGAGTGGGGGGAGAGTGGGGAAAGAGTGGGGGAGGGAGTGGGGACGGAGTGGGGGGACTGGGGGAAGTGGGAGAGGGAGTGGAGGGAGAGTGGGGGAGGGAGTGGAGGGAGAGTGGGGGAGGGAGGAGGGAGGGAGTGGGGGAGGGAGAGTGGGGGAGGGAGTAGGGGGGTAATAGGGGGACAGTCGGGGGAGAGTCGGGGAGGGAGTGGGGGAGGAAATAGGGGGGTAATGGGGGAAGAGCCGGGGGAGAGTCGGGGAGGGAGTGGGGGAGGGAGTGGTGGAGGGATTGGGGGAGGGAATAGCGGGGTAATGGGGGGAGAGTCGGGGGAGAGTCGGGGAGGGAGTGGGGGTGTCGGAGGATGTCTGATATATTCACTCCTTCCTTTAATGATTTCAAATGAAGTGCTTTTTTTAAAAGGCAGGCTCACCAATGAGGTGCGGGAAGTCCCCGCAGAGAGAGAGCCCACGTAGTAAGTAAGGAACGGGGGCGGTTAGAGATTCTGGAGAGGCCGGATGGAAAATGCACACACGGTGAGCAGAAACCATGATCCTGAGACGCTGATGTCCAGGAGGGAGCCTCAGAGCAGGAACGCAGCCGCGGCAGGGGGCGGTGGGAGTCTGCGGTATGACGTAGGGTACGAAGGGCCTGGGGGTGGCAGAGCAGAGCCTGCTGCGGAGGCACAGGCTTCTCATTCCGCGCGAGTGACCGAGACATGGATCGCGCTCTTGCCGGAGGAGGGTGCACGTGCGGACCAGAGGCTTCCCAGCGCCACGGTGCCAAGTTGTGGGGGTGCTGAGCCAGGAGCTTCAGAAGAGCCTCACAAGCAGGGCACAAGCTGAGAAAAATGACAGCTCACGACACTCTTTCTTCATATTTAAACCAGAGGACCAAACAACTCAAGGTGCTCTTAAGAAAAGCCCGCAGTCGTCCAAGACTTTAAATGAAAACGCGGATCTGAAAATGGGTGAAGGAAATTTGAGGTACCCACATTTGCCAGAACATCGCGTCCACCCTGAAGTAAGGTGCTACCTGTGGTGGACACCTTTGTGACACTTCGTCTCTAAGTGAGATAGGATTTCCAGGGAGCGTGGGACTGTCCCTGGATTGGTGGCTGCTGAGGAAGGATTTATTTTCCATGGAGCTCTAGTTGGCTGTGAGATTTTAGGTCAACAACTGGCTACAGATGATAGATGGAGAGATAGCCCCTGTACAATATTCACTGTGGACTATTATTATATAGTGCATAGTAATAAGACAATGTACAAAATGTGATAGCGTACACTTCTTTCGTATGTAGAAAATGCAGGGATTTTTAAAAAGTGAGATTTACTTTGGTCTGAAGTCCTCATCAGGAGGCCAGGCGTGGTGGCTCAGGCCTGTAATCCCAGCACTTTGGGAGGCGAGGTGGGCAGATCACTTGAGGTCAGGAGTTCGAGACTAGCCTGGCCAACATGGCAAAACCCCATCTCTACTATAAATACAAAAATCAGCCGGGCGTGGTGGTGGGTGCCTGTAGTCTCAGCTAGTCGGGAGGCTGAGGCAGGAGAATCACTTGAATGCAGGAAATAGAGATTGCAGTGAGCCAAGATGGCACCACTGCATTCCAGCTGGGGCGACAGAACAAGACTCTGTCTCGAAATAAATAAATAGCAATAAAAAATGAAGTCCTCATCAGGAAATGCAGTAAGCAGATGGTTATGAACTGGATTACGCTGCTGCAGACCGTCTTCTAAGACCATTTGTGTATCAGTGGTTGGAGGAGTGTGTAGGCCAACCTCTCTTTGAACTGTTGTAAATTCATTCAGGCAGATGACTAAAAATGACATAACCCCCACCCGTCTCCCAAGGGGGCAGGTGAGAGGTGGGTATAGCATTTCAGGTCAGAATGGGGGTTCTCACAATTCATCAGTGTTCGCTCCCCAAATCTGGATTTACAGTCTGAAATGTTCTTTCTTTAGCCTCTGAATGCCAGAAGTAAGCACTTCCTTTTAATTTTTATTTTTCCCTAGCAAATTCTTTAGTGAGCAAGCTTTTGTCTGATCTAACCTTTCTCTCCCCTGTTGGTTTCAGCCTCCACCTTTGTCTTGCCTTTCCCCCCACCACTTACTCCCACCCCCACTGCTGACATGTTGTGAGTCGTCTCCTGGAAGCCACAGCCCTGCTGGTTTTCACTCAGGGTGGTGGGTCCCTTATGTGTGTCATGCTTTGCACAAGACAGCGAGGAGTGCTGGCTGGTTTGCTGGCGCCCAGCACTATGACCTGGCTTCCGTTCATGGCTCATAAGTTTCCAGTCTTTGGGGTATCTGTGGCTTTTATGTCATCTCACTGCCTCTCCTCGGCACAGGGACTGGCTTTGCTGTCGATGGCAGACTTAAGGCAAGTGCAGAAGGGAAGAGGACTGCTCAGAAACATCTCCTGGAGACACTGTATTTTCAATGGGTCTCTCCAAATCCAGCAGAAAAAGGGCAAAATGTAGGGAAGGGGTGCCAACATGAAGCCATCATGGTGGTGCCAAGGATTTATTGGGCAGCAAGAATCAAAGGACTGGTGGGAAAGAAGAAATCAGAGTCAGCATGCAGGAGAAAAGCAGAACGGAGACAGTGTGGCTGGATTGATAGAATACTGGAAGGCCCAACAGATAGTCCCACACCCATGTTCACAGCACATTAGCCACGATTAGCCAAAAGAGGGAAGCAACACCAGGGCCTGTCACCGTATAAATGGATAAACGAGATGTGGTCTCTACATACAATAGAATGTTGTTTCAGCCGTAAAAAGGAATGAAATTCGGACACACGCTACAGCCTGGATGAACCTTGAAGACATGATGTTAAGTCGAATCAGCCACAGTCACAAAAGCGCAAATACTGTGTGACGCCACTTAGGTGAGGCACCTAGAGCAGTGAAATTCATAGAGACAAACCAGACGAAGTAGAGTGGTGGTTTCCAGGGGCTGGCGGGAGAATGGGCAGTGAGTGTTTAGTGGGTGCGGAGTTTCAGTTTGGGAAGATGCAGAGCGTTCTGGAGGTGGGCGGTGGTGACGGTTACACAGTCATGTGAATGTACTTAATGCCATGGAACTGTACACTTAAAAATGATTAAAATGGTAAATTTATGTTACATTTTTACACACACGTGTGTGTGCACATGCTTGTAACTCTCCATTTTTTATCTTTTGATCCTAACCTTGAACCTCTCCAGAGCCTTAACTTAAATATCTCCTCAGGCCGGGTGTGGTGGCTCATACCTGTAATCCCAGCACTTCGGGAGGCCGATGCCAGCGGATCACTTGGGGTCAGGAGTTTGAGACCAGCCTGGCCAACATGCTGAAACCCCATCTCTACTAAAAATACAAAAATTAGCCAGGCATGGTGGTGGGCGCCTGTAATGCCAGCTACTCGGGAGGCTGAGGCACGAGAATTGCTTGAACTTGGGAGGCGGAGGTTGCAGTGAGCTGAGATCCGCACCACTGCACTCCAGCCTGGGCGACGGAGTGAGACTCCGTGTCAAAAAAAAAAAAATCTCCTCTACGAGTGGATGTCGGGTGAGGTGGGCTGGGGTGGGCGATTTATTTGGGGCTTAGAAGGAAGCAGAAAAGTTCAGTCATCTTCTGTTACCCATACAGCAAGGTACAAGAAACAATGTGTGTGGGAGCAGCAATGGCCTCTCTCTCTTTTTATTTTTCAGAGGAAGTGGTGGTAATTCCTTTTAGTGTCTTGCATTCTACATGCAGCTTTAAAATCTACACTGACATGTTTCAAGCAATCTCATAGGTGGCTACTAACTTAATTTGTGTTTTGCTCATTCCTAATGCGCAGGAATGTTATGAAAATGTTCGTTCCTGGTGTTAACTAACTCTGTTCAGTCCTTGTATCCTGGTTGATTAATGGCAAGGTAATTGCCCTTCATTTCTTTGCCTTCAAAGCAGTGCCACCTAGGTCTTTACTGCCCTCAAAACAGATGTCTTCTGCAAAGAGTGAAATTCCGATCAGTCAGTCCCTCCTCATAAAACATGTAGGTGAGAGGCCACTTGGATGCACAGGAAGGTTGCAAAGCCAGCTGCCCTGCAGGAGCCTTCAGAAGAGTGACCTCCATCTGGGGTCAGACCCCGGCTCCCTGGAGGGTCAGCAGAGGAGAAGGGGCATCTTCTGGAGAGGAGTATGGGTGCGGGGCAGACAAAGGAACAGAAACAGAAACAATCAAGAATGAGGAGTGAGCCTGCAGTGCACCTTAGAGTGTGTGTCTATTTTCTGCCAAGGGTGAGATGTTCTGAGCATTTTCTCTATGTCTACCTCCGTCAAGTACTTTCCATAACTGCTGTCATGTCAGCCTCCTACTAACCCTGTACAGTAGGTATGACTGCCGTTCCATTTTCATAGATGAGACCGAAGGGTAAAGAGGGTAGATAACTGGACCGAGTCTACACATGTATTAGGTGTCGGAGTTGGGATTTGAACCCAGGTCTCATGACCTTAAGTTGGGCGAGAACTGGATGTAATCTGGAGTGGCCAGCATGTTCCGCTGGGGCTGTGATTTCAGTTATCTGTAAGAAAGCATGAGGCAGCTAAAACCACTGAGGCCCAGCACCAGTGCAGCATCTCTGATTTCCTTTTGCCCTGCTTGTGTCTGGGGACTTCAGACTGTCTGTCTGCTCTCTGGATTCTGTGGTCCAACTGGCACTTCTGTGCTAAAAATGAAGGCATAATTGAGGCATCACGGACCCCAGATGGGCCCTGCAGCCTGGGGCAAGGCTCAGCTGACCTCATGGCACCCGTCTCAGTCTAATCCAGTCTTGGATTGCCACTTCCCCTTTTTGGCTTTGCCTTGTCCTCCCCTGGCCTGGCATCCCAGGCTCCTGCTTGTGGTTTACCTGTGTGACACACACAGACACATATACGCACTCTAGTGCCAAACATGACAGACCAGGAGGTTGGTTTTCTTAGCCTGAGAATCTGCATCATCTGAATGAGGTAGAATCTGGAGGAGTCTGGACTGTGAGGGAGGAAGCTTGGGAAGGAGTCAGGATGGGATGTGCTGCCCATCAACGCCTGCAGGGAAAGAAGAGTCCCACGCAGGGAAAGGAGAGTCCCACGCGGGAAAAGGAGAGTGCCACGCGGGGAAAGGAGAGTCCCACGAGGGGAAAGGAGAGTCCCACGAGGGGAAAGGGGGGTCCCACGCGGGGAAAGAAGGGTCCCACGCGGGGAAAGAAGGGTCCCACGTGGGGAAAGAAGAGTCCCACGAGGGGAAAGGAGGGTCCCACGCAGGGAGAGTCCCACGCAGGGAAAGGAGAGTCCCACGCAGGGAAAGGAAGGTCCCACGCAGGGAAAGAAGAGCCCCACGCGGAGAAGGAGGAGTCCCACGAAGGGAAAGGAGGGTCCCACGAAGGGAAAGGAGGGTCCCACGCAGGGAAAGAAGAGTCCCACGCGGGGAGAGCCCCATGCAGGGAAAGAGGGTCCCACGCAGGGAAAGGAGAGTCCCACGCAGGGAAAGGAGGGTCCCACGCAGGGAAAGGAGAGTCCCACGCAGGGAGAGTCCCACGCAGGGAAAGGAGGGTCCCACGCAGGGAAAGGAGAGTCCCACGCAGGGAAAGGAGGGTCCCACGCAGGGAAAGGAGGGTCCCACGCAGGGAAAGAAGAGTCCCACGCAGGGAGAGTCCCATGCAGGGAAAGAAGGTCCCACGCAGGGAAAGGAGAGTCCCACGCAGGGATTGCTGTTCCACTCTGCATAGCCGCTGGGCTTTCTGCTGCACGGATGCCATCTAGAAGAAGCACCATCCACTGTTCTCAGAAAGAAGAGAGAGGAAGGAGACAGGAGTGCGTAGAGTGAGTGGGCCATCAGAAAAAGGACTGCTCTGGGGATGCAGGAGACCCGCTTGTAGGATTTAGGGGCACCGTGCAAGACAGGGGTCATGGTATGCGGGTGCCTCCGACTGGCGGCTGCGTGGTGGATCTGGCCACTTGGTGAAGGTCGCAGTGACCTTGATCTGCTCTGGGGAGGGATGCTGTTTTGCCTTTCTTCACGCACGTGGAATCAGGACTAGCTGGACTGGCAGGAAAAGGTTCTCTCTGGAATAATGGTTTGCTTCTCTGCAGGCTCGTGCGGCGGCTCGTGCGGAGCCCTGTGAGCACTCATTCTTGGGAGAGCACCTGAAGCCGCCTCCAGGTTTAGTCATTTCCTGCTTTTTCCTATACATACCTTCCGTATCAACATGCTTTTTGACCTTCCTCACCTGAATACATCTGATACCCTATGAATTCTTACCTTTCTTTTTCCAAAGTGGCCAGGAACTGAAAATGCAACTTCATTAAACTGGAAAGACTGGCTCTTTGCTAATTAGTCCATTTGAAATGAAACTAGGCTAGGATTTTTGGTTCACCTCCCAGATCACAGGAATGTATTGCCTCATTAACAGTTGAAGAAGCAGTTTTAAATGATCCAAGAACAAGCTGACCACTTGGATTCCTGGGTAGTCGGCTGGGCCTCCTGTCTTTCTGCAGGTTTGTGACTTACCTTTGCTTCCATGGGAAGAAAGGAGGCGGGAAATGAGGTACAAAGAGAAAATTGGAGTGAGTGGGCATTTTGGTTTATCAAGTAGAAGCAATTCTGTGTGTATGTTTGGGAGGATGTGGAGAGCATTTAGAAGTTTTATTTATTTATTTATTTATTTATTTATTTATTTATTTATCTATTTATTTATTTTTGAGAAAGTCTTGCCCTGTCACCCAGGCTGGAGTACAGTAGTGTGATCTCGGCTCACTGCAACCTCTACCTCCTGGGTTCAAGTGATCCTCCTGCTTCAGCCTCCCAAGTAGCTGGGATTACAGGCACCCCCAACCATACCTGGCTAATTTTTGTATTTTAAGTAGGGGTGGCGGGGGTCGGGGGTTCACCACATTGGCCAGGCTGGTCTCGAACTCCTGACTTCAAGTGATCCATCCACCTCGGCCTCCCAAAGTGCTGGGATTACATGTGTGAGCCACCACGCCTGGCCATTCATTTAGCCTGGTGACCTAGAAGTACTTAGGAAATGTGTGTGTGTGTGTGTGTGTGTGTGTGTGTGTGTGTGCACCCGTGTATGAGTATATGTGTTTTGGTTTTCCAATCTTTGGTTCACGAATGTAGTCCATATTCTTAGAACTGACTCACATATAGGAATTCAATAAATATTTATTGAATTAATAAATAAATGACTATGGTGTGTGTGTTTATAGGTGCACACACAAACACACACACAGAGTAACATCTCACCCATAAGTCATTTATCGAGCAACCATAAGTATTTAAAATAAATGACAAATTAGAAAGTCCAGAAGACCATGCAGTGGCTGCATAAAGGTGACAAAGCTCATGCTTGTGTTTCTTTAAAAGAAACTTATCACCCTTCGCAGCCAGGTCTCCTTTAGATAGCGTGCTTGGCCGGGAGCAGATCAGAAATGGCAAACTAAAGATAAAGACAATCACAAAGGCAAAACCAACAAAGCGACAGCTAACAGCTTGACAGGAAGAGAGGGGACAGAAAGCAGACACAGAGTCTCTAAGCACAGCCGTCTGGTTTGGGGCAAACAACTTTTTGCACTTTACCGTGCCTGTGGAAACTATGTCATGCGGCATGGAATGAAATTAATTAACATTCGTAGTAGACGCTGAATCATCAAAAGCTTGAATTATATCTCATAACTTTGTAGGAAGATGAAGTTACTCTAGCAAGATTCCTTCAAAATGGTTTACTTGTTTCTTAAAGAGTACAGGCTTCCATTATGTACACCAGGAGGCAGAAAACTGTGGTCAGCAGACCAAAGCCAGCCTGCTGCTTGTTTTTGTAAATAAAGTTTTATTGGAAACAACCATGCTCATTCATTTACGTGTTTCTGATGGCAACTTCCTCCTTCCCCTCAGCAGAACTGAGTAGTTGAGACAGAAACCATATGGCCTGCAGAGCCAAAAATACTTAATGGTTATTTATAGCAGAAGTTTGCCAGTCCCCAATCCAGATGTTGGGTTCCTCTTGAATGTTGGTTTGTGCTTATGTATACATCTGATTCACTTGCACGCATTACCAAGTGATCCATATACACGAGTGTGAACACATACGCATTTCTGTGTGGTAGTAAGCACAACTAAGTGTGAGCACCACATTCTCAGACATAGCTCTAGAAGAGAGTTTCTAAGAAATTAGCTCTGAGTCTTTTCTGCTTCAGTCAGCTGATGGCATGGAGCAGTATGTTGTAACCTCTGACCCGAAGGGCAAAGGCCTTCTGGAGGAAGTGTACACCCCTCAGAAGCCTCCCTGTACATTCACCATCCCCAAAATAGCTCCTTGAGTAGAGGTGCATCGATCACCCCCAAAGCTTACATAAGATCCTAGCAGTCAGAAGGATTCAGTGATTAGGTATCCCAGACTACATAGGGTCTTGTGGGATATTTCATTGGTACTAGAAGTTGACTGCAATGGCAAGAAAGGTATGCTTCATAGGGTAGAATTTTGCTTTTAGGGTTTTTTTTTTTTTTGAGACGTAATCTCGCTCTGTCCAGGTTGGAGTGCAGTAGTGCTATCTCGGCTCACTGCCACCTCCGTGTCCTGGGTTCAAGTGATTCTCCTGCCTCAGCCTCCTGAGTAGCTAGGATTACAGGCCTGTGCCACCACGCCTGGCTAATTTTTTTGTATTTTTAGTAGAGACGGGGTTTCACCATGTTGGTCAGGCTGGTCTCGAGCTCCTTACCTCGTGATCCACCTGCCTCAGCCTCCCAAAGTGCTGGAATTACAGGCATGAGCCACCGCACCCGGCCTTTTAGGCTATTCTTGTGGCCTTTGTCACTGACTTAATGGATAAAGTTTCTTCTGCTAAGGCGGCCATGTTGGTTTATTATTCTGTACGGATGTGGCTGATACCACATTAGTGTGAGCTTTCACTAGTGCTCACTTTGATAGCCTCCTTGCACAGCCTAGCTAATATATGTCACTGGACTCCATTAATTTTATAGTGTCAGTAGCCCAGAACTCATTAAGGAAGACAAGTTTCTGAGATTGTAGATTCCTATGGGTAAAATATGTATATTATCATAAAATAGGTACTAAAACGTGATTTGGATTTGGGATGTGGAAGTAAGTGCCATTTTATTATTGAGATATTCATATACCATAAAATTGACGTTTTAAAGTAATTTTTAGTATAGTCACAAAATCATGAATATATATTTTCACCTTGTTTTAAATATAAGAAGATTGGTTCATTTTGAAGAATTCTGTGTGACCCATATCAAAGTAGCTGTTGCAGTTGTGTAGAGATTCACACATGTATGCTCTGTCAAGATTTACCAGTTGGCATGTGTGCCATAGGATTTACTGAGTGTGGATTATGACAGTCCTAGGTCCCTTGATTTTATTTTATATACATATCAAATTGCTCTTCCCCATTGGGCCGTGTTGGAGAACACCAGGGCCCAGGGCCCAAGCCTCTAGCCTACCCCAGGCCCAGGGGTTTGAACAACCTCCCTACCTTCTGGAAACCCATTTCCCCCCAATACTGGCTGGAAGGTATGAGGAGTCGTCTTTCTTACTGTCCTTATCACTACAGGAAACAGGGAAAGCATAAGAAAAATGACAAAATGTTCCAGCTGAGCTAGAGTCTCATTGGAGGGTACAATTGTCTCTGAGTATCAGTGGAAGAGTGCCTCCAGGACTCCTACAGAAACTAAAATCCACAAATGCTCAAGTCCCTGGTATAAAATGTCATGGTATTTGCGTATAACCCAGGTACGTCCTCCGGTATATCTGAAATGATGCCTAGATTACCTATAATACCTAATACAATATAAATGCTATATAAATAGTTGTTATTCTGTATTGTTTGAGGAATAATGACAAGGAAAAAAACTCTGTACGTGTTAAGTACAGACGCAACCATCCTTTTTTTTTTTTCTGAATACTTTTAATCCATGGTTGTTTGAATCCATAAATGTGGAACCCACGGATACAGATGGCTGAGTATGTACTAACATATAAATAGGGCTAGCCTTGCTTTTCTGCAGCCCCTGTCCCTAACATCTTATTCTAAGTGGCCCTGGGCAAAGTGACCATTCATTTATTCACTCATTCATTTGTAGGCCCTACTGAGAGCCTACGATGTATACGGCACCATGTACCAGGCCCTGAGAACACAGAGGTAAGATAGACAGGGTCCTGCTTTCATCGGGTTTATATTCCAATGAAGATAAGAGGCATTCAACAACTCTTTATCTAATGAGTTGTACAGCAACCCTTGTGATATGTGCACTTAAAGAAATGTGCAGGGGTTTTGGATAGAAAGGCTCAATGTGGAGACAGACTTGGTCTGGAGGCGGGGCAGCTTCTCTGAGGGTGCGACGTTTCAGCCACGATCTAAGGGAGGGAACAGGGAAATGCACTGCGGTCATCCAGGTGAGAAATGATGGTGGCCTCAGTGCCCAAAGTGGGGACGTCAGTGGATGCAGACAGTGGATTTGAGACGTATTTAGGAGATGGAATTGACTAGCATCATTTTATTGACACTTTTCATTTCTACAGTTTGAGTCCATCCTCCCATCCTCCTTTCCCAATCCCAGTGCCTCAGATGTTCTCGTTTTTCCCTTGGGGTGAGTCTATACTGAAGCCAGATGGTTTCACTCAAACCCATTCAGTGCTCCAGAGTCAAGTGCTGGTCATCGCAGGGGAGCTCCGGAGCTGCGTCTGTAATGTTAGTGACCCTGATTTCTAAAGGGAAGTCTTCTTCAGTCTGTTTCTGAGATTATTCCTGGGAGCTTTAACTGGAAAAGCCAAGGGCTTAAAAAGATGCAGTTTTTTTTTTTTTTTTTTTTTTTTTTTTTTTTTTTGAGACACTGTCTTGCTTTGTCACCCAGGCTAGCCTGCAGTGGCACAGTATGGCTCACCACAGCCTCAACCTCCCAGATTCCAGAGATCCTCCCATTTCAGCCTCCAGAGTAGCTGTGGCTACAGGCACACACCACCACTCTCAGCTAATTTTTTAAAAATTTTTGTAGAGACAAGATCTCACTAGGTTGCCCGGGCTGGTCTCAAACTCCTGGGCTCAAGTGATCCTCCCCCCTTGGCGTCCCAAAGTGCTGGGATTCCAGGAGTGAGCCACTGGGCCCAGCACGGTGCAGTCTTCAGAGAAGGTGAACTCTCTGGGCACCTAGAGAAACTTGTAGGGAAACAAAAGCTTGTTTATAAACTTGGTTCAACACAGGAGACTATGTTCTCCACATTGAAAAGTTCCTTCATCTTTTTTAAAGCATCTAAATGATCTGTGTCTCACTTCCTAAGCAGGCTGGTGGGCAGGGAGGGTCACCAGTTGGGGCAGAGCTCAGAGGGAGGTGCACAGCTGTGCAGTGTCTAAGCTCCTGCGTCTCCTGTCACTTGGTTCCCGTGGCACCATCTACGCCCATCTCCCTCCCCCTTAAGGGTTAGCATGACATTGTATCACAGGGATGTTGATTTTCTTTTCACTTCAGTTCTGGATTTTCAAATTCTCAGACCACATACCAAGTTGAAAGCAATCCTTTGTTTCCTCTTGAACCGTAAACCAGAAATTGTGCTTGGGAAACCATACCAGGTGACTAACTGGAAAACATCCCCAAACCTTGTTAGTCTTTGGCCGTAGACATTTAATTCTGAGCCCTGGATGGATGGTGATATTAAATACAGATTGTGCGCACATTAGTAGTAGAATGTACCCCTGACCAATTTTTCACACATTTAACCAAGTAAATGGCTTCTTGCCTTCAGTGAGTTTTTATTTCAAGACCAGCAACCATTGCACCAAGATGAAGAAGTGAGCCGCGTGGTTTTCTCCATCCAGGGGTGCAGAAAGAAAAGTGCAGAGACAGTCTTCAGTGTTTTTATATAAATTCACTTTTGCAAAAAGTATGTTGCTGTGTAATTAAGAGTGTTAATGATGCTGCCTAAAGCATCTAGGGAGAGCAGTCTGGACAAGGAGAGAATGGGACCGTCACCCACCGGTGGCTCCTCCGTCTATGGCCTCTAGTCATTTTGCTCCCTACCTTTCTTCTGAAGTCAATTCTGGTTTTTGTTTTTGTTTTTGTTTTTTCCCTATTTTTCCCAAAGACCCGGGGCTGGAGGCCTGTAAAGGGACCATGCTACAATTTCTGAGCAATCCAGTCTGGTTTACCAGAATTAGAACTCAGTACTGCAGAACCCTGGGAGGTGATGATGCAGGTCAATGAGGCCTTGGCAAGAAGAAGGGGAGGGAGGGAGGATGGAGACGTCAACCTGACATAGGATTTGGAGAAGAGTCAGAGATTAAGAATTTAGATTAATGTGCCAGGCGCCGTGGCTCATGCCTGTAATCCCAACACTTTGGGAGGCTAAGGTGGCAGATCGCCTGAGGTCAGGAGTTCAAGACCAGCCTGGCCAACATGGTGAAACCCCGTCTCTGCTAAAAATACAAAAATTAGCCGAGTGTGGTGGTGGGCGCCTGTAATTCCAGCTACTTGGGAGGCTGAGGCAGGAGAATTGCTTTAAGCTGGGAGGCGGAGCTTGCAGTGAGCCGAGATCACACCACTGCACTCCAGCCTGGGCAACAGAGCGAGACTCCATCTCAAAAAAAAAAAAAAAGAATTTAGATTAGTGTTTATTTTGGAAAGGGAGAGCCATAAATATATATTTCAGGTGTCTGTCTTCACTATAAGTTTGTTTATGGTTGAATTTGATAAATGACTTCCTTTGGTCTGTGGAGTGTATTAGTTATTTGGGTGTGATGTGTTGGAAGAAGATAGTTAATGCATTTACAGGAGGATCATGTGAGATTTCAGATCAGGGCCACCTCATGCCTTTAATACATAAAAACCATTTAAAACATTAAAAAGTTCCATGCAATCTTTTTTTTTTTTCCTACCACAATTTATGTCTTTATGAGGAATATCTCCATTCTGCCTCTGCTCTGCCAGGGTAATTATTATCCTGTATACACTCAGGTCTGTGTTCAAATCAGCATAACGAAGGCTGCTATGAAAATGAATATAGAATTTTCATAAAGTTCATGCTAAATTCTTAAACTTTAGCTTTTACATTTTTGGCAGTAGGTTATAGGTAGGAGTCATCTTTGTAATTGACATTTAAACGCAATTTTTCTTCTCATAATTGATAACGACTTCATTCGTGCCAGCCGCAAAACCCAGTGTATTATTCTTGTCAGTGCTTGACGGTTTTGACAGGCCAGAAAAATTGCAAGTAAAATAGATATATTTGGGCGTGAGATGTTGACTTATAATTCATGAAGCTGCAACCTTCCACCTGTAAAGGAGAAGAATTGGCAGAGGTATGGTTTTGATTTATGTGTTGAAAGACAGAAAACAAATAAGAAAACCTTTGTTCTGCTGTCACAACTGATGAAGGTAACAGTGTTAAAAAATAATGAAATTCACAATACTTCCTACACATCCAGTCCTCTGTAGCTGCAATTCGGGGGGGCCAAGGGCTTCCTTAGCAGAATCTCTGGGCTTTCTTGGGGTGCAGGTAGGGCTCTGGCCTTGCTATGCTTTAACTAGAACTACTGTGATTTTTTTTCCTTCCTTCCCTCCTTCCTCCCTGCCTCGCTGCCTCCCTCCCTCCCTCTTTTCTTTCTTTCCTTCTCTTTTTTCCTTTCTTTCTCTCCCTGTTTCTCTGTCTCTCCTTCCCCCTCCCTGTCTCCCTCCCTATCTCTTTCTTTCCTTTTCTTTTTTCTCTCCCTGTTTCTCTGTCTCTCCTCCCTTCCTCCCTCTCTCCTTTCTTTATTTTTCTTCCATCTCTTAATTTCATTCATTCATTAGCCTTCTGTGTAAGATTTTGTTTGGAAAAAAAAGAGTCATATCCCCCTTTAAAAACAGTTCATAGAAATGTATCCTCTAGTAGTCCCAGCTGCTCGGGAGGCTGAGGCAGGAGAGTGGCGTGAACCCGGAGGGCGGAGCCTGCAGTGAGCCGAGATCGCGCCACTGCACTCCAGCCTGGGTGACTGAGCTAGACTCCGTCTCAAAAAAAAAAAAAAAAAAAAAAAAAAAGGAAATGTATCCTGTACATGAATGTGGATAATGAGCTTTCCTGGCTGGAAAAGGGCAATCACTCTGGCTTCTGGGATGACCCTGGAGTCCTTCTCTGCTTCAGTAATTGCCACACTCCTGGGCTCCGCCACTTCTCTATTGCCCAGTTCTTCTGCTGGGATGCTGGCCTTCCGCCAGGCAGCCTTAGGTTCTGCTTAGACGCACAGATAATCTTTACCAGTGTGTGAGAAGCCTGAGGATACAGACAGACTGCATACCGCGGCCATGTGTTGTGTGAGTGGTATCAGGCTGGACGTATCCCTTGACAACTTGACTTTTTAGCTCACAGTTACATTTTTCGGACTGATCTACGTTGATTCGTGGAAAAACAGGTGATACCGCTTCTTTCCTTCTATCCCCCGGCTTCAGTTGAGTTCATTCTATACCCCACCCGATGCCTCCGCGTACACACTGTAGCTAATTCTGCAGGAGATGGAGGGTTCCATGGTATCTTCACACGTGGAGATGGCACTACATTCGTATTCTGAGCTATTCCCCAGCAGCAAGGGTAAATTTTCTTCTCTTGCATTCTCTCGCTCAGTCAACCTTGTGACCATTGACTCATATTTGAATGTCATGTTTGGGCCATAGGCGCAAGTGAGGAGATGCTCACGCTGGTTACCTTGCAGGTGTTTTCTATAATGAAGAGCCCACAAGCCCTCACCCCACCCCTGCCCTACCCGCAGCTGGAGTGAAGGTGGCGCCCCAGAGGCCACTCCTGGGAGAAACCTCATCCCCTCCCTCCTTCTGCGACTTCACAGCCTCACACACAGTTGTCTGGGAAACATCAGATCTAACCACCTCGAGCCTTGCGTCTCTGTTTATGCCTCTCCCAACAGGAAGCTGAGACTCGGAAAATCCTCGTCCCCCTCCGCACCTCTCTCCTACTCACCACGCCTTTCCACGGGAACACACAGCACGTTATCAGCAAAATTCCCCACACCCTCAGCGCCTTTCCTGAGAGGTCCTCGTGATGGTGTGGATCTGTGTCCCTGCCCACATCTCATGTTCAGTTGTGATCCCAGCGTGGGAGGTGGGGCCTGGTGGGAGGTGGCTGGATCTCGGGGGTGGTTTCTCACGAATGGCTAAGCACCGTTCCCCTTGCTGCTGTTCTCGTGATAGTGAGTGAGTTCTCGTGAGATCTGGTTGTTTACAAGTGTGTGGCGCCTCCTTCCTTGCTCTTTCTTGCTCCTGCTTTCACGGTGTAAACTGCCTGCTCCCACTTTGCCTTCTGCCGCGATTGGAAGCTGCCTGAGGCCTCCCCAGAAGCAGATGCCACCATGCTTCCTGGACAGCCTGTAGAACCGTGCGCCAGTGAAACCTCTCTTCTTGTAAATTCCCCAGTCTCAGGTATTTCTTTTTCTTTCTTTCTTTCTTTTTTTTTTTTTTTGAGACAGAGTTTTACCCTGTTTCCCAGGCTGAAGTGCAGTGGCATGATCTCGGCTCACTGCAACTTCTGCCCCCTGGGTTCAAGCGATTCTCCTGCCTCAGCCTCCCGAGTAGCCGGGATTACAGGCACCTGCCACCACACCTGGCTAATTTTTTTTTGTGTGTGTGTATTTTTAGTAGAGTCAGGGTTTCACCATCTTGGCCAGGCTGGTCTTGAACTCCTGACCTCGTGATCCACCTGCCTCGGCCTCCCAAAGTGCTGGGATAACAGGCGTGAGCCACCGCACCTGGCCCTCAGGTATTTTTTTATAGCAATGCAAGAACAGACTAATACAGTCCCTTTACCTTATCTTCCTAACTGCTCCCCGAAGTCCTCTCAAGCCACATCTGCTTTGTCCCCACACCCTGAACCACCACGTTTGGTGCTAGCGCCTCATCACTGCTCCATGATCATCCTTCCCTCCTCCTGGAGACCCCTGGCTTTGCATCTCTGGCCACCAGATCATTGTTGCAGTCATCTATTCATCTCTGATCCATGCCACCTTGTTCCTTGTGGATTGACGCTCCTGGAGTGCTATCAGTACACCAACCCTACTTGTCAGACAGTAACACCTGTGATTTCAGTGTTCTTGTAGACAATCCTTCGGTACTCTGGCTTCTCAGGTCCTTAATCTCCTCTTCTCCGATGACCTTGTTCTTCACTCAACCTCAGCCCCCCATTTCCGTAACTATACCCTAGAGCTTATTACCGGTTGTAAAGACTGATAATGCAGTCATTATCTGTTATGCTCCAGCTCCATCATCTCATTTCAAGCATCCCATTCTCTGATCACCACCTCTTTCTTCTCTCCTAAAACCTTGACTGAAAACAATTCTTCCACCTCACTGAAGTGCAAAATCCATCCATCCTATCATCTTTTCCCCCTTTCTCACCTACCTCATGTCTTCATGTCTCTCATTGTCTAGTTTGGAGTCCTTGATTATCTAATCATTACCTTGCTTTACTATCTTATAACATTAACTTCTTTACCCATCTCTCTCTTCATCCCACTCTCCTTGCAAAACTACAGCCTTGGTAAAATCCAGTTGCCCATGTCCTCTGTACCTGTCTGTGCCCAGCTGAGCCTGGGTGGAACAGAACACAGCCGTGGTGACTGTTTCCAGTTTATGACCATTAACTTCTAGTGGGCTCGAGCACCCTCTGGCAGAGCGTTCTCCTCTTTCTGTATCATCATTTCTTCTCTCTTGATTGAATCACTCCTTTTAGCATACAAAAATGCTATTATAACTCCCAACTTAAAAAATAAATTTCTCTTAACCTCACACATCTCATTAACTACTGTCCCCTTTCTTTTCTTTCTTTCTTTCTTTCTTTTTTTTTAGAGACAGGGTCTTACCTGTCACCCAGGCTGGAGCGTAGTGGCGTAACCACAGCTCACTGTAGCCCTGTAGCCTTGAACTCCTGGGCTCAAGTCATCCTCCTTCATCAGCCTCCAAAGTAGCTGGTATTACAGGTGCATGCTACCATACCCGGCTAATTTTTAAATTTTTTTTGAGAGATGGGGTCTTGCTACATTTTCCAGGCTGGTCTTGAACTCCCGGGCTCAAGCAATCCTCCTGTCTCCCCCTAAACGGATAGCAGGCGTGAGCCACTGCACTTGGCCTGTTCCATTTCTTTGATTATCTTTGCAGCAAATTTATTTTTAAAATGCGTGTTTATACTCTCTGTTTCCAGTTTCTCATCTCTATCCTCTCTTGAACCCACTCCATTTATCTTTTAGCTGCCACCACTCAATCAAAAGCTCTTATGAAGGTCACTGATGATAATCAAGACTAAATAACATTTGTAATAGATAATAATTGTAATCTGATCATTATAACACGTTCATTCATTCTACAAATATTTGTTGACTGGCACCTACTATGTGCCAGTTACTGTTCTAAGTGTTTTACGTGTATTCACTTGCTTAAGCCCTAAGGCGGGTACCGTTATTTTCCCCATGTTATGGGTGAGGAAACTGAGAAACAGAGAGGTTGAAGAATTTACCTTCTATGCCATAAGTGGTATAAAATGGTCAGTTCTCAGTCCTCATTTTACTTGATCTATCTGCAGCATTTGCCCGTAGATCATTCCCTCCTTCCTGGATGACTTTCTTTGCCTTGTTTTCTGAACATCACTTTTTGATTTCTCCTTTGAGCTCACTACCTATTCCTTCTCAATACCTTGTGCTGGTTTCCTCTCATCTGCTCTAAATAAATCGTGGAATGATCATTCATCAGACCTTTGCTCTGCCTGCACTGACTCCCTATGCCATCCCTCCCAGGCCCGTAACTTCCAATGCTATCAGTATATTATTGATTTGCAAAATTGTATCCCTAGCCTGGACCTTGACCCTGAACTTGAGACTGTTGGTCTTAGTCTGCTCAGGCTGATATAAAAAAACACCACAGTCTGGGTGGCTTATAAACGACAGAAATGTATGTATTTCTTACAGTTCTGGAGACTGGGAAGTCCAAGACCAAGGCACCAGCAACTTGAGTGTCTGAGGAGGGCCCTCTTGTTCATAGATGGCACATTATTGTGTTTTCACACAGTGGAGGGGGCGAGGAAGCTCTCTGGGTCCCCTTTCTAAGAGCACTAATGTCATTCCTAATGACTCCACCCTCATGACCTGATCACCTTCCAAAGGCTTTACCTCCAGCCATCATGTTGGGGACTAGGTTTCAATATATGAATTCTGTGGGGCAACACCACGTTCAGTTTACAGCGGTCTCTCTGGCCTCATGTCCAACCATCTCCCCTCCTCATTCATCCCACTCCAGCCACGCCGGCCTCTTGCTGTTCCCAGTTACGCCAACTCGCCCCCACCCAGTCCTTCATGTCTGCCTGCTCCCCTGCCTGGGTCGCTTCCCCACGATGCCTGCTGTGGCTCACAGCCTCACTGCCTTCCGGTCTCTGCTCCAGTGTCCCTGAATAGAGTCCAACTCTGAGCATGCTGTGGAAAAGGGCCTCATTCCAATACACAAAGTCCCTTTTCCCATGCCCTGCCTTACTGTTCTCCATAGGTCACATGTGACGTGACCTGTGTGTGCTTGTTTACTGGTTTTGCTTCAGAAGAGACCTCCGTGAGAGCAGGGACCTTGGTTTGTTCATGGCTCTATCGCACAACTGGGTATAATAGGTGCTCGATAAATATTCTGTTGAATGAATCAATGAAGTTGCCACAGGGAAGGCATAGACATATGTCTTTCAAAACTCCATGTGCTTGGTCTTTTTAAAAGTAAATTTCTTTGATTGTAAATAGATTCACATTGATACTTGAATAAAATCATAAAGGTATGTCTTCTTTCCTCTTCCTTTAAGTTTTAAGACACTTATAAATGTACCTGAAATTGTAATAAAAGATCCCAGAGGATTTTACAGCATGTTTTCCGTTGATGGTAATGGATGGAAATAATTTAAATAATAACATTAACAGGTTGTTTTACTACAGGACCACAATAATTTTAAAAGACAAACTTGAATAATCCTGTTTTACCACATCCCTAAACCTATGAAACACACAGTACTCACTCATTAATGTTGATTTGTTTAAGAGAAATAAACTTCAAAAAAAAAAAAAAAAAAAAGCCAACAAAACTCACTCTGATATTAACTGCCTCGGGTTTAAAGGTTTTTTCAGAATGCCTCAGTAATACTGGCTTAATGAATTAGGTTCTAAGAAAAATGGCCAGGCATAGTTAACAATAAATCAGGTTATACTATTTGCAGAAAAAGCAACTAAAACTCTCCTTGTAAATAATAATGTGGAAAGATCTGGTATTAATCAAGCCACTGTCTACAGCTGAGCTCTGTTTTCAGCTTCTGAACACAGTGGAGTTAATATTGAGCATATCTTTGTTTCAAGTATAATGAACACAATTCTGCAGTCCTTTGAGAACAGGCTTTTGTGAAAAATCAGTAAGGAATTGCACCTAAAACCCATTTACAAGATCATACTCCCAAAGGCTTTGTCTTAGAGCAGTTTTTAAAATCTTGTTGGTAACCTCCTGACCACATCATTGGGAGTACAAAAAAGTGCAGAGAGTATATATATATATATTTTTTTTTCATAAATACTTGCACATCACATTTCCCCTACGGAAATTCAACCAGCGGTTCCAAAGACTGCTGGGCTGGAGTTGTCCGGGTTGGTGGACCCGCCTGAGTCTGGGGTAGCTTAGCTTGTTCAGAGGTGTGCACAGGGCTGAGGACCTTCTGTGCGTAGCAGAGTCATTCATCTGGTCAATGGCCACATGAAGACACAGATCTTGCCATATCAGATTCTCCTTCTTTCTACTGGAGGTCTGGTGACTTTACCTGTGTTAGTTCAGGCACCTCTGGATAACTTAAGGACTCACCAAGCGGCAGGTCCTTATGTAGCTCCACAGACCACCATGAAACCCTTCGACCTTTTCTGAAGTCTGCCTTACGTCTTGGGCCACTGAACATTCTGCCAGTCCTGAAGAACGTGTTGATTCCAGTCTCATCCCAGTGCAAAGTGTCCTTCTCATCTTTGGGCTGCTGTCCCCTGAGCAGGAATGCCGTCCCCACAGCTGATCTTTGACCATGGGTAGACTCTGGTCTACCATATGACCTGGGACCATCAAAGCCCAGGTTAAGCTGCATCCCAAGTGTTTTTCTAGCCAGCCATGCCCTGGGGGTACTTTCCATTTTATTGGTCACGGAGCACTCAGGCCCTGCTCCAGGATCCCAGGTATGGTCTCTGGGGAAAACTGACCACAGGTTGTGCAGGAGGAACCACCAGACCTGCCCGAGAGGGGACATCTCTTCTCTTTGGTCTGCTGCTTTGAGACAATTCCAAGATCGCAGTGTATATATGTGTGAAGTCTTCATGGGTAACTATCTCCAAAGCATTTAATGATTCTCTTTCCTTGGCTTATAAGTAGGCTGATAATGGAAGTTCAAATGATGTGGGACTCTGTTGGTTTGTCCTTCTGGAAAATCCCACTCCTCTTCCTGGTCACCAAAGCAGTGAGGGGAGGAGGGCAAGGAATTGACTCCTCACATGTATTCTAACAAGCATGGAACAGAGCACACAAGACATGGATCTTACTGTAGACCGGGGAAGACACTGAGCCACTTCTGGCTTTATCTCTTCTGACCTATGCATTGGGATAAACTTAGCTGAGCGCGTTTCCCTGTCCGCATGGAGGGTCTGGAAAATGAGCCGGACATTGAGCTGGGCTTCATACTTTCATCTTTGCCTCTCTCTAGAGCCAAACAAAGGCTTACCTGGGTGGGCCCTTTTTGGTCCTGTTTTTCTGTCATCGCTGTTGATACGTGGGCCTTGAGCTCCCTAGTTGCAAACTGGGAAGTGCATTGAATGAGAAGTGTGTGGCTTCTTCCCTGGCTATGCCTTTTCACGTGTTAAACATAGGGAAAACTCAGCTATGCCTTTTCATGTCTTAAACAAAGAGAAAACTCAGCTATGCCTTTTCCCGTCTTAAACATAGGGAAAACTCAGCTATGCCTTTTCACGTGTTAAACATAGGGAAAACTCAGCATTTGTAATAACATGTTATGTTTATAGAGCTCTTCACAAAGTGCTTTGATGTCTGTGATTCCATTTAATCTTTACATCAGCAGCAGGGGATAAGTGTTATCCCAGTCTTACTGATGAGGAAACCAAGGCTCAAGAAGATTGAATGATTTGGCCAAGGCTGTGACACTAGAAAAGGCAAAGCTTGGACTAAAACCCAGGTCTTCAGAATTCAGGTCCAGAGCTCTGGCCAGTCTGTTGACTCCTTCATCAGCTCCCAAGATGAAGATGAGGAGCTATTTTCTGTTTTGAGCCTTTGATTACAGCTTGTTTTGTAATACACCATAAAGGTTGAGACCATGTTTGTTTCTAGCACTTACAAAAAGACCTGGCCCAATTAGACACTTAATAAGTGTTTTATAAATGAATGAAATTAGTGAGTGAAGAGGTAAATGAATGGATATATTGAATGAATAGATTAACTAGGCAAAAACCTACCTGTCTGCATTTATATTGGAAAGCACTACATGAAAAAATGAGATTTGAAAGTTTTAGAATGTGGCTGTGTGTGTGAGAGAGATCGTCCCTCAATCTTTCATTTCTTCTGATTGTCTATCAGTAGGGAAGGTCCAAGTCCCACCCATACTGTGTTTCTCAAATATTCTCAAATTGTATTGAAACCTGTAACCAAAACCAAAGTTAAAATTGATTTTAAAGTGTCTTCTAGGTTTTTATTCTACCATTCCTACCTCCAGTTTTTTGTTTGTTTGTTTGTTTGTGTTCCTTTTTGAGACAGAGTCTCATTCCTTCACTCAGACTGGAGGGCAATGGTGCGATCTCAGCTCACTGCAACCTCCGCCTCCCAGGCTCAAGCAATTCTCCTGCCTCAGCCTCCTGAGTAGCTGGGATTACAGGCACCCACCACCACACCTGGCTAATTTTTGTATTTTCAGTAGAGATGGGTTTTCACAATGTTGGCCAGGTTGGTCTCAAACTCCTAACTGAAAGTAATCCATCAACCTTGGCCTCGCCAAGTGCTGAGATTATAGGCGTGAACCACTGTGCCTGGCCCACCTACTTCCAGTTTAAAGTCACCTGGGAAATACTTGGAGTACAGTTTTGTCATTTTAATCCTTTTTTGGACCACAACAATCACTTTACGAACATTTTTTTAACTTTTTCAGAATCGATTCAAGGAAAAGTGATAGAGGCAGGTGGGGACGGGGAGGTGAGTTTTCTTCGCATTTTTGGGAATCTCAACTCCTGAGCCTGTCTTACTAGTACGGGTTCCCCAACCCCACGACTAGAACTATCTTAGTGGTTTCTTCCTAAAGAGATGTACACGTGTGTGTGTGTGTGTGTGTGGTGGGCGTGGGTGGGTGTGTAGAGTAGGGAAAAGGTGAGAAGTGGCTCTCTTGCTATAGACTTTTGCTTTTTACTCTTTTCCACTGAGTCTGCTCATATTATTCATACGATTATCACGTTAGAGGTTTTGGAGTTGTAGTGGCTATCGTTTTAAGTTTCTTGTAGAATTAATTTATATAAGTAGACAATGTATATGAATTGATTGATTCAAATCTGTATCTTACAGGATCTGTTAAAGATAGTCAGAAGGCTGTCTTTTAAAATGTGAGGACAAATCAGTTTAACAGTATAGCAGAGAAGTACAGCTGTGCTCTGTCAAACTCTAGGCTCCTGTGTGTTGGAATGACTAGAGGCAGCAGGGAGAGGGGTCCTGGTTTACTCACCCCCTCTCCCTCTTTCACATACTAGCTTGGGCTTGTTGTGGTTGAGGTGGTGTGGGAACATCTAGAAGGTTCATTCAAAAAAGACAGCCTCAGCCTTTGCTCAGACGCTCAAGATGTTCTGCCGGCTCTCCCTACCATGAAAGTTCTCTGAGAAGCCAGTAAAGATGGCAGCCTCTAAAGAGGTTAGCTTTATTTGGTGGAGGGGCGGTAGGGGTGGCACACACCGAGGAAGATTCGGATCGTGGCACATCCTTGTGGTCAGGCCCAGAAATCCTCATTGCCCTGCAGCCACCCAGGTCATGATTCATGAGGTGGGGGTCTAAGCTGAGAATGGCTGGCCGGTTCTCTGACTTCGTGGGTGTGTAATAGTTGGTTGCAACTGACTTCTCAAGAATGACAGTTACTGACTGGAGCTGGCAGAGAGGTGTGGCCAAGTTCCTGGAGAAATGCTTCCTGCTCCTCCCGCCCTCCCCACCACCATCCTGCTGTATTTAAAGCTGCTTTGGTGATGCTTTGCTCATCTCAGTGAATTTTCAGTTCAGACCTTTTCACTAAGGATCATTATGGAAGAAAGAGGGGTAAGAAGTGTGGCTGAGTAGCCTAGGATTAATTCATCAGTCCCCAAATAAGCAAACACGATGTCTCAGGATGGACGGTGAAATTCTGGACCTCACAGGTAGGTCTTGGAGTTGTTAGTTGTGAATGTAGACCCCCAAGTTCAGATGTTGCCAGGATTTTACATCCTCTGCTTAAGGCTGTGTTGTTATTTCTGATGTTTATGAGTGAAAACAAAAACATACAGCTCAGGTCCTTATCCTCTGAGGGTCTCCTCAGCCTGGGGCACCTCCCGCCAAACGCTTCATGACTCCCCCACCAAGCACATCCTGGCACAATCTGGCATGAGGTCTGAGCTACATAAATGTGGTTTTATGAGGGAACAAAGCAAGTTTTGGTTTTCTTTAGAATTGTACGAAATTATACCTTCAAGATGACTTTGCCTTATCGTGGCTTTTGTTTTGCTTCTCCGAGAAGGAAACTACAAAGTTACCATGATGTAAATCCGGCCAGAGGCTTGAAGTGATTTCATAGTAAAAGCCACCTCAGCCGTCCCCTCTGAAACCCAGGCCAAGAGGCAGAGATGCCAATGACAGGCTCTGTGACCAGCCTCGTAAGCCATGAACCAGATCCACGGTTTCACATGGCCAGGACCTCAGGGCCGCATCAGCCTCTTCCACCACACTCTCTCGTGAACAGCTGGTGACACTGTCAGCGGCGCCTCTGTCACAAGGAAGGGCAATGTCCTGTGTAGCCAGATGGCGGGGGAGTTGGAGGCTGGGCCAGGCGGTCAGGATCTGCATTCCACCAGCCCGTGGGGTTTTCATAGCCAGGGGCACTGTGTCCACCTTGGGCGTGGCCATACACAGCCACCACTTCTAACCCCATTGCCAGCTACAACGGAAGAGAGCATGCTGTTTAGAGTTCAGTACCTCCACATAAGGGAAACTGAGGTAGAGGAGAGCCGGCATTAGCTTCTGGGCTTAGAACACCCACCTTGCCCTCCTGCATCGAGATTCATCTCCAGTGAGAGCAGGTGAGAAGGAATCAGAGGAGAGCACCTAGGCCCGGGTGTCAACCTTGACCCCACGGACATCTAGGACTGGATGATTTTTATTTTATTTTATTTATTTATTTATTTTTGAGACGGAGTCTCGCTCTGTCACCCAGGCTAGAGTGCACTGGCGCGATCTCGGCTCGCTGCAACCTATGCCTTTCAGGTTCAAGCGATCCTCCTGCCTCAGCCTCCTGAGTGGCTGGGGCTACAGGCACCCACCACCACACCTGGCTAATTTTTTGTATTTTGTTTAGTAGAGACAGGGTCTCACCATGTTGGCCAGGCTGGTCTCGAACTCCTGACCTCAGGTGGTCCGCCCATCTCGGCCTCCCAAAGTGCTGGGATTACAGGCGTGAGCCACTGCGCCCGGCCAGTGATTCTTTTTTCAGGTGCTGGGATGCGGGGTGCTGCTCTGTACAGTGTATGATGTCTAGCTGCATCCCTGGCCTCTACTCACTAGACGTCAGTAGCCCTCTCCCAGTTATGACAACCAAAAATGTCTCCAGATATTTCCTAATGTCCCCTGAGCATCAAAATCACCATCTCCAGCCTGGGCAACATGGCGAAACTCCATCTCTACAAAAAATACAAAAATGAGCCAGGCATGGTGGTGTGCAGCTGTAGTCCCAGCTATTTGGAAGCCTGAGGTGGGAGGACCATTTGAGCCCAGGAGAGTGAGGCTGCAGTGAGCTGTGATCACGCCACTGCATTTCAGCCTGGGCAACACAGTGAGACCCTGTCTCAAAAAAAAAAAAAAAAAGAAGAAGAAGAAGAAAGAATTTAAAAAACTTACCAGCGGTCAAGAACCATTGGAGTAGAGAGAGAATTTGGTGAAAAGACATCTGCATTCTACCTTTAGTCTCTGGGCTATGTCTCCGGGGCTATTTATCATTGTCTTGAATTATTTTGTATAATAAGCAGCAGCCCCCACGCTCAGGTGTTTGGAGGAGTTGCAATTCACTGGGTGGAGGGTAGAGCGTCTCATGAAATCCTCGGCTCCTGTCTGAAGGCCACAGCTGGGGTGAGGCCCTTGAATGGGAGAGGCAGATGTCCCTGTCTACTTCTTCCTTCTCCCTGCCTCCTCTTGGCCTTCCTTCCCATCCCCTCCTCTGTGACAGCACACCACACCGTCACCTGGGTGCTCGTCAGCACGCAGATTCCAGAGCCCGGCTCCCCAGAGATTCTGATACAGGGGGTCTGAGAGGGGACCTGGAAACCTGCCTCACTGTGAGCTTCCCAAGTGACTCTGCGCAGGGGGCGTGGTGAGGTCACACTTTGAGAAACAGGCCCTAGAGGCTTTTCTGAACACACGAGCCCTCCCAGTACTCCCAGGACACTAAAGTGTAGCAGAAACAAGCAAAAAAACACAACTATACTAGCAAACGTGACAAAAGCAAAAAGGGATAAAAATTCCTAAGAAAGGCCAGGCACAGTGGCTCATGCCTGTATTCCCAGCACTTTGGGAGGCTGAGGTGGGTGGATCACCTGAGGTCAGGAGTTCGAGAGCAGCCTGGCCAACATGGTGAAACTCCGTCTCTACTAAAAGTACAAAAATTAGCTGGGCGTGGTGGCGGGCGCCTGTGATCCCAAGGTACTGGGGAGGCTGAGGCAGGAGAATTGCTTGAACCTAGGAGGCAGAGGTTGCAGTGAGCCGAGATTGCACCATTGTACTCCAGCCTGGGTGAGAGAGTGAGACTCTGTCTCAAAAGAAAAAAAAAATTAAAAAATTCCTAAGAAAGATGAAGCTATTCAATGTGGGAACCTCTCTCACTGAAAATGGATTCATCGAGTCATTGATTGATTCGACACATGGCTTCTGTGTGCCTACTTGACTTCAGGCATTATTCTAGGCATGACGCATTCCGCAGTGAACAACACAGACAAATGTGCCTGCTGTCACCTAGTTTATATTTTGCAGGGGGAGACAGACAATGAACGGAATGTAGTTAGAAGGTGGCCATGCTGTAGAGAGAATTAAAGCAGAGAAAGGTGGTTAGGGAGTGTTGGGGCTAGTTTGCAGTATCACTAGATGATCCAGGAAGGCCTCGTTGAAAAGGTGATCCTTGAGACCTTGAAGGCGGTAAGAGATGGCCAGGCAGATATCTGCAGGTGAGAGTTTTCTGGGCAGGAGGAACAGCAAGTACAATGTCACTGAGCTGGGAGTGGACATTCCTGGTGTGTTCAAGGAACAGCCAGAAGGCTTTCATGGCTGGTTCAGGCTGAGTCAGGGAACAAGTGTAGGAGCTGAGGGCAGAGAGGGACCAGGAGGCCGAGTCCTGCAGAGCCCATGGCAGGGACATTGACTTTGACTCTGAAGGAAGTGGGGCGGGGGCCAGGGGAGGATTTTAAGCCGAGGACTGGCAGGATCAGATTTAAGATTGAAAAGGATCACCTTGTCTGTTTTCTTGAGAGTGGACTCCAGGTGGGTAAGAGTAGAAGTTATCATTACTATTCAAATTATGGCACGGTTTCTGCCCCCTAGGAATTCACTGTGATGGTGGAGATAGAACATGTACAGCTTAAGTAAGGAAATGTTTGCTAAGTGCTATGAATGACTTAGAGAAGTGCTGTGTGAGTCAGTGAAGGGAGACATCCCTTCTGGGAGTCAGACTTCGCGGAAGAGCGGGGCCTTAGGATGAATGAACAAGACTTTGGTTTTTTTAGTGTGATACATAATTCACCATGCACATCCAGTGAATGGTACACATTTAAAGCGTACACTTTGATATTTTTGGACATATGTATCCACCCATGACGCTATCCCCACAATTATAATACTGCACATATCCATGACCCCCAAAAGTTTTCTCATGGTTGATGAGGGAGAGAGGGAGTTATCATCAGGGCAGGAACCAAAGTGAAGGTGCAGAGGCTGGGAAATGTAGGGGCTTCCATGAGACAGAGGGAGGCTGGTGCTGGTGCTCCTGGGGGAAGTGAGGGACGTGTGACAAGGTGGCCTGAAGAAAATTGTGTGGGGCCCAAAACACTGGGTCACAGGGGAATGGGGCAAGTACTTAAATTTTTGTAGGACATGGTCAAATGATGTATTTGTTAAAATTCCATCTTTTTTCTTTTTTGTGTTGAGACATGGTCTCGCTCTGCTGCCCAGATTAGATGGCAGTGGCGTCATCATAGCTCACTGCATCCTCAGCCTCCTGGGCTCAAGGGATCCTCCCACCTCAGCCTCCTGAGTAGCTGGGACTAAAGGCATGCACCACCGCACCTGGCTAATTTTTGTATTTTTTGTAGTTGGGATTTCACCATGTTGCCCAGGCTGGTCTCGAACTTCAGATCTGCCCACCTCAGTTTCCCAAAGTGTGGGGATTACAGGCGTGAGCCACCATACCCTGCCAAAATTTTACCTTTTAAAAACAATGGCAACACCACCAAATTTTAGGTATTTAATCTTTTTGTAGTAAGTTTAAGAAAACACAGCCAAGGGCGGATCATGAGGTCAGGAAATCGAGACCATCCTGGCTAGCAGAGTGAAACCCTGTCTCTAATAAAAATACAAAATATTAGCCAGGCGTGGTGATGGGTGCCTGTAGTCCCAGCTACTCGGGAGGCTGAGGCAGGAGAATGGTGTGAACCTGGGAGGCCGAGCTTGCAGTGAGCCGAGATCGCGCCACTGTACTCCAGCCTGGGCTACAGAGTGAGACTCCGTCTCAAAACAAAACAAAACAAAACAAAACAGCCAAGTACATTTATGCAGCATTTCATGAATATGAAGTCAATTAAAAGAAAAAGAAACATTAAGCAATTTTATAATTAGATAATTAACAGAATCCTTGATAGCCTTATACTAATACAACTACTTGCAGATTGAAAATAATTCCATTTGCTGCCTGCTGGCACATTAAAGCCTACATGTAAAAAATACATCAAGTCTAGATGGGCTTCAGTCATTTGAAAGTAATATTTTAGTGCATTCTAGTATAATCTTGATTAGTGCTTACATGCGTATAGTTCAGCACTTTATTTTGTGTCATGTTGAACATGAACTTTAAAGTTAAGGGAAACATTTTAAGTACGTAGTAGGAATCTACTTTCCCATCTTAAGCTCTGAATCTATTTGTGAAGGGATCCTATTTCCCAACAGCCAAGGGATATACTGGAGAACAAGATTTTCAGGGTTGAAGATACGCTGATGTGAAATCAGGTTTCTCTCTCTTTTTTTTTTTCTTGAGATGGAGTCACGCTCTGTTGCTCAGGCTGGAGTGCAGTGGCGCAGTCTCGGCTCACTGCAGCCTCCGCCTCCTGTGTTCCAGTGATTCTCCTGCCTCAGCCTCCCGGGTAGCTGGGATTACAGGCACGCACCACCACACCTGGTTAATTTTTGTATTTTTAGTAGAGACGGGGTTTCACTATGTTGGCCAGGCTGGTCTCGAACTCCTGACCTCAAGTGATCCTCCTGCCTCGGCCTCCCAAAGGGCTAGGGTTGCAAGAGTGAGCCACCGCGTCCAGGCCAGGTTTCTCTTTCTACATCTTCTGGGAAAAGGTTGGCAGCTCCTAGGAGATACTGACCAGTTAGTTGATGGGTCTGTGATTCAAATCGAACATCTAGCAAAGCCCCTACGAAGCATTAGTCACTCTTGTGGGAGAAATGAGGAAGCGTTTTCAGTAGGCTGTTAGAGTGAGAAGCATCAGATTCTTAGTTCCATGGAAATGAACGCCTCTTGGAGTGTTTCATCTTTTAAAATAGAGAAGGAAGCTGAGAGTCATTCAGGCCATGCTCAGAGATGTCAGCTCAGGAACTCCAGGAACCCAGTATTATTTTGATTCCTTCCTTCCTTCCTTCATTCCTTCCCTCCTTCCCTCCTTTCCTTACTTCCCTCCCTCCCTTCCCTCCTTCCCTCCCTTCCTTCCTTCCTTCCGATATGGGTTTTCCTCATGTTGTCCAGGCTGGTCTTGAACTGCTGGCTCAACTGATCCACCTGCCTTGCTTTGGGCTCCCATAGTGCTGGGATTACAGGTGTAAGCCAATGGGCCCAGCCTATTGTGATTTCTTTCTTTCTTTCTTTCTTTTTTTTTTTTTTCTGAGACAGGGTCTCACTCTGTCACCCGGGCTGGAGTGCAGTGGTGAGATCTGAGCTCACTGCAACCTCTGCCTCCCAGGTTCAAGTGATTCTCGTGCCTCAGCCTCCTGAGTAGCTGGGATTACAGGCACCTACCACCATGCCCGGCTAATTTTTTTATTTTTAGGAGAGATGGGGTTTCTCCACGTTGGCCAGGATGGTCTCAAACTCTTGACCTCAAGTGATCCACCCACCTTGACCTCCCAAAGTTCTGGGATTACAGGTGTGAGCCACTGCACCCGGGCTGATTTAAGAGGGCTTTGACTTGACCAGATGTGGTGGTTAAGTGAATATGATATGTTCCCTTCTTTATCATCCTCTCTGTTCTTAATTGCAAAAGCGCCAAATCCTCCTAGATAAAAGACAGCCCTAAGATCATTGTCACCATCCTCCTTATCCTCATCCCAACATTATATGAAGTTCTAAATTTATACAAGTTACTGTATTAGATACTGAGACTAGTTACATTGATAATAATTACTACCATTTATTTAAGGGTGATAATAATTACTACCACTTATTCAGCATTTACCAAGGGCCAGGTCTGTGCTAAAAATGTTGCACATATTATCACATTTAATTCTTACTTAACTCAATAAAATAAGTATGATTATTGACTCCCATTTTTACATTAAGGAGACTGAAGCTTAGAGAGATTTGTGAAAAATGGCTCCTGGTCACTCAGCTACTAAGTAATAGAAGCAGGACTTGAACCTCCCATACCCTTAACCAAAAGTTTTCAAAATAGTCAACACTGTCCATACCATCTAGTTGGAAAAGATGAGACCTGGACATAAAAACTGGCCAGGCAGAGTGGCTCACGCCTGTAATCCCAGAACTTTGGGAGGCTGAGGTGGGCAGATCACCTGAGGTCAGGAGTTCAAGACCAGCCTGGCCAACATAGTAAAACTCCATCGGTACTAAAAATACAAAAAAATTAGCCGGGTGTGGCGGTGAACGCCTGTAGTCCCATCCACTTGGGAGGCTGAGGCAAGAGAATTGCTTGATGCAGTGAGCCAAAATCACACCACTGCACTCCAGCCTGGGCAAGAGAGAAAGACTCTGTCTCAAAAATAAATAAATAAAAGCATTTTCAGGGGTTGTGACGAGAAATGCCTCACCCATTCTTTTGAGTCATTTATGAACTGTTCTTAATCATGTTACGTTCTAATTAAACATCTCCCTTTTCTTTTGACGTGGAAAAGTCTTTACCTTCTGCAATACCTTTTTCACATGTTGCAGCAAGCAGCCCTATTAATCGCATTCCCACCTGCCTTTGGCCCTCCCAGCTGCCTCGCTTGCAGAACACGATCGTTCAAACGGAAGTCATTCATGGGATCGCCTCTCCCTGCAGTAATCCAGAGCAGAATCACTTAGGCTGAGCACAGCTGCTACATCCCAGGGTAATTTGGTTTCTTATGTAGAAAAACTGCGGTCTGACATTTAACATTTCCTCCTCTGGAGAGTGTTTTTTTCTTTTTTTGTCTCTGTGAACTTATTACCCAGCATGTCTTCACGCCTTTACATTCAGCGTGTTCACGTGCTCAGCGCGGTGTTCATGCCCGCACCATTGTGTGATCACCATCACTGGGTGAAGGGCTGTGGGCTTACAAAGCAGACTGGGAATCACAATGACAAACCTTGGGTTCAGACTCCGGGTAGGACAGAAGGAAGTTTCTACCTGAGTTTCATGCTAATCAAGTAGGGGTGCAGGCGATCAAGCAGGGGTGCAGGGGTGCACCTGCGATCTCAGGGCATGGCCTCGTTGCTGTCACTACTGCGGTTGTTATTTTGGCTGTCTCAGGCCTCACCTGGAGCAAACCCTAATTCTAACACACTCTGTGTTCTTTCAGATATCACTCCCCTCTTCTTTTCCCGTCTTTCCAGAATGCGCTGTGCTTGTGTCCTCTTTGCCAATCAGAGTGAGCCGCTTGGGGACTTTAGTCCATGCACATGTCGTGTCAGTGCAGATGATAGAACCTTGAGGGTGGTGACTTCCCCACCCGGAGCCATGGGTCGTGATTCCTTTGTCAGGCGTTCTGATTGGTTCCTGGCTTCCCTCTGCGGTGGTCGTATACCTTGTGTGTGGTTCTGGGAGCTCATGAACAACAGGAATCAAGGACACTGACCTTTCGCCATCAGCAAACTCCTGCTGTGTAGATTCAGGGGCGAAGAGAGTCTCGCGGTGAGAAATACTCTGGGTGAGAATGACCCTCTGTGTCTCCTTGGTCCTTCACACCCCATCAAGCACAGGCGGATCAGGAGATGTAAAGGTCAGGGAGCTGGTAAGCATCGACGAACAAAATCTTCCTGAGGAAGGGCCGGGTGCGGTGGCTCATGCCGGTAATCCCAGCACGTTGGGAGGCCAAGGTGGGCAGATCACGAGGTCAAGAGATCAAGACCATCCTGGCCAAGATGGTGAAACCCCGTCTCTACTAAAAAAAAAAAAAAAAAAAAAAAATTAGCCGGGTGTGGTTGTGGGCGCCTGTAGTCCCAGCTACTCAGGAGGCTGAGGCAGGAGAATCACTTGAACCAGGGAGGCGGAGGTTGCAGTGAGCCGAGATCGCACCACTGCGCTCCAGTCTTGCGACAGAGCAAGACTCCATCTCAAAAAAAAAAAAAAATTTTCCTGAGGAAGAAGTAGCATCCCCGAGCTGGCATGTTGGGAGTATCCTTCAATTTCAGATGCTTAAATTCTCCTCTCTGACAATGGCTAATTAAGATTTGGCCACATTATCTTTATTTCTCTTCTTTTGAAATTAGTGAGGGGACCTGACCTTGGGTGATCCGCCCACCTCAGCCTCCCAAAGTGCTGGGATTACAGGCGTGAGCCACGGTGCTCCACCACCTACGTGTCTTCTTGTATTCCTCTTCATGGGAGAAGTAGGGAAAAAATGATTTGGTATATATTCCTGAAAGATAAGAGTGTTCTAAGTATCGAATCCTTACACTTAAAACTTTAGGTTGAAAATGTTGCCCAAGTGCCAATAAAAATTGGGACCTTAAACATAGAAGTTCACCTTGTGGGTGGGCCCATCGCTGCTCCCGTGAGACTATCTCTGATCCAGGATGGATCAGAGCTAGGTGATACAGATGTCTCTGAAGCCCACGAGCTAGGCAGCACGACAGACTGGATGCTTCTTTTGGTGCCAGCTGATCCAGAGGACATGGCCCTAGTCCATCTCCTAGGGCCACTGCCATTCTTTTTGTGTCCATATCAGGAAAGCATGGTATAATTCGAGGCATCTATGGCTCTGAAGACTTCTTTTCTCTCTCTCTCTCTTTTTGAGACGGAGTCTCGCTCTGTTGTCCAGGCTGGAGTGCAGTGGTGTGATCTCAGCTCACTGCAACCTCTGCCTCCCAGGCTCAAGAGATTCTCTTGCCTCAGTCTCCTGAGTAGCTGGGATTAGAGGCATGCACCACCAACCCAGCTAATTTTTGCATTTTTAGTAGAAACAGGGTTTCACCATGTTGGGCAGGCTGGTCTCGGACTCCTGACCTCAGGTAATCCACCCACCTCAGCCTCCCAAAGTGCTGGGGTTACAGGCATGAGCCATCACGCCCGGCCTCCTTTTCTCTTTTCTTCCTATTTATGACTACCCTCCCTTAAAGCAGTATCTTCTTTATTTCAGCACTTACAGAAAGCTATGGCTGTTGACCATTCCTTTTTGAAGTTGTGAGTTGTACTAAAATATTTATGTATAATGTGTGGATAAGCACTTGATTTACTGAGGCCTTTTGATGATAAGAACTCACAAAGGGTTTTAGATCAAGGGTGGCTTCATTGAAGAAACACCTCTGACATCAGCCAGCAACCGCATTTTCATTAAAGACTCTCAATCTCAGCCTTTCCCTGGACGAGAGAGGAATGGGTTGTTGGCTACTTCCTGGCTGTCTGTGGCGGTCGTATTGATGTTGGGCCCAGCTGTGCTGAATGGCTCTGTTGGTGCTCGCTGGGCTTGCTTTGGCTGGCACAGCTGTGAGTGGAGGACAGCTGTGAGGAGCGGGAGTTGGTGCTGATTGATGTCTTGTGAACCCCGGCGGAGCACTGAGCTCCATGTATGTACGGATTGGTCCTGTGAGTCACTACAGACTGGGCTAGAGGTGGCAGCAGAGGCATGTGGCGTTAGGTAGTACAGGAACCAAGAAGGCCCTCTGGACTGTGAACTCTCAGAGAACGGGTGTTGTTCTCATGCACCCTCAGACCCCCAGCCTGGGGCAACACTGGGCGTGCAGGAAACCAAAGTCTCCGCTTGTTAAATGTCAGCAGCTGAGCCACAAATGGCAATAAGCTGAATAAAGAAGGTGGTGCTTCAAGGGAGAGGAGTAAAAACAAGGAAGAAAAGAGAAGAGGGGCCCTCAGAGCCAGGGATGGCTCATGCGGTTTCTGGAGAGTGGTTGTGTCCCTAGGTCAGAGTCAAATCCAGACTCCAAGGGCTAGCGTTGGAAATAAACTGTGATGTGCAGACATGACTTCTCACCCTCTCTCTCTCTCTTTTTTTTTTTTTTTTTTTTTTTGAGATGGAGTCTTGCTCTGTTGCCAGGCTGGAGTGCAGTGGTGTGATCTTGGCTCACCTCTGCCTCCCGTGTTCAAGTCATTCTCCTGCCTCAGCCTGCTGAATTGCTGGGACTACAGGCGCCCGCCACCACGCCCAGCTAATTTTTTTGTATTTTAGTACAGATGGTGTTTCACCATGTTGGCCAGGATGGTCTCGATCTCCTGACCTTGTGATCCGCCTGCCTCGGCCTCCCAAAGTGCTGGGATTACAGGCATGAGCCACCGCGCCCGGCTGAAATGACTTCTCTTAGAGCTGCCTCCTTTCTGTGGCACCTCTTCCATATGATTGGGTTAGTAAAAATATTCTAAATAAGCAATTGATTTGAGGCTTTTTGAAGCCAAACAGTTTGGTGCCTTGAGAGCATAAGCCATTGCTTATGTGAAAAAAAACAAGAAACTGTATCTTTGCATATACTGGGGCCCAAATAAATCCCGTTTGAATGAATGAACATTTCCTAGTGAAAACATGGGGCTGGAACCCTTCTGTGTCCGTGGGAAAATAGGAATCTATTGATGGATATGGCTCTTTGGCTTAAAGTGAAAAATCATGAACTGGTGGTCAAGAAATCTAGGCATAGTCCACGCTTTTAACCCTCTGGGACCTGTTTTTCTGTAAACTGAGGTGACGCTCTGTTCTGGAACAGCCCCTAAGGGGCCGTTTCAGGTCCTGCTACACGCTCTGAGTTGTGATTAGAGACTCTCTGGCCCTGTCATCGAGGAGGACGCCTCGAGACAGGCCTCATATGGTTTGCATCACTTCCTCAACCAGACTCGCTCAACCTGAACCTCCCATTGCTTCCCATCATTGTGTCTGGCTGTCTTGAGTGTCTCCCTCCTGAGCCACCCCTTGCTGCTGCAGTGTAAAGAGGCCTCTTGATTTATTAATCAATTAATCAGTGCGTGCTGAGGAGCTGTTCGGGGTAGTTAAACAGGGAAAACAAACAGCTGGAGCCTGCAATCAAGATGGATCCTAATTAAGAACCACCCCCCAAATGCTGATCTTCCTGCCCCGTCACTGCCTCACAACTCCCCCCCACCAGCCTACAGCTCAGCAAACCGCCTTCAGCTCTGATGGGGCTTCTACCCCATGCAAGCTGACAGTGAATTTCCGAAGGGCAGATTTTCTCCCTAATGTCCTAGAGGTAAATAAGCCTTGAGATGAGCGTTATCAATTACCTGCAACGACTGTTGAGCCCCCAAATGGCGTAGTAGCCCTGTTCATATAGGCACAGCCCACACTCTCCTATCCCAGTTCCCCCACGAACGGAGTCATGGAGCTGGAAGGTCCTTACGATAAGGAGAGGCCATGGCGCTGTGGACAGACGAGAGGTTCAGTGAGGTTCAGTGAGTTGTCTGAGGTCACTGCAGAACTCCAAGGTCACAAGTGGCAGAACTGGAAACTATCTGATACTCAACGAACACTCCTGGTGCTTGTTTCTCTGTGTAATCCTAAAGCAAAGTAAATAAGAGACATTGTTCTCACTGAATCCATTAAATGCTTCTGTTCCAGTGGTACTTAGCACACAATGCTGAGAAGGCCAAGATTTTCTTAGAACAGAACCTCTGTTCGAGGTTGCAAGTTGCACCTCCATCTGCAACTAACTTTCTGTGGTAACAGGGGGCCAAGGGACCTCAGTGCAGTGGTCCAGAATTGCACTCACCCCATATCATGCCTGGACAAATGTTTGTTCCTTCTGATTGAACACCTTGGGAGAGCCCAGGGATGGCTATAATTCTTCAGTGGATGTAAGAATAAGAATGTTCTTGCCAGGCATGGTGGCTCACGCCTGTAATCCCAGCACTTTGGGAGGCCGAGGCGGGTGGATCACGAGGTCAGGAGATTGAGACCATCCTGTCTAACACAGTGAAACCCCATCTCTACTAAAAGTACAAAAAATTAGCTGGGCGTGGTGGTGGGCGCCTGTAGTCCCAGCTATTTGGGAGGCTGAGGCAGGAGAATCACTTGAATCCAGAGGTGGAGGTTGCAGTGAGCCGAGATCGTGCCATTGCGCTCCAGCCTGGGTGACAAGGCGAGACTCCATCTCAAAAAAAAAAAGAAAAAAAAAAATATTCTTGACCAGCCTGGCGAAGAAGATACTTAGAAGTCTTATTTATTTTTTTAACTTCTTTTTGAAAGTTTTCACTATAAAATTCTTACATTTGTCTAATGTGTTTATCAAAAATAGAGGCTTTTCTGCCAGTGTGTCTTCTCATTTCTGTGGAATGCCAATCAAACTATCCAACTCTTTGAGTACGTCTCGGGTTTGACTGGTAAGCCAGGTATCTGACTTGCACTAGCAGCCTTGGAGTTATAGAATCTCCTCTCCCTCTGCTTCTGTGTTCTGTAGGACCCTGCTTTCTCGGCTGTGATTCACGACAAACTCCAGGTCCCCAACACCATCCGGAAGGCATGGAACGACCGGGACAACCGCTGTGACATTTGCGCCACTCACCTGAACCAGTTGAAGCAGGAGGCCATCCAGATGGTGCTGACGTTGGAGCAGGCAGCCGGCAGTGAGCACTACGACGCCTCGCCCTGCTCCCCGCCACCGCTCTCCAACATCCCCACCCTGGTGGGGTCCCGGCACGTGGGTGGGCTCCAGCAGCCCAGAGACTGGGCCTTTGTGCCCGCCCCCTGTGCCACCTCCAACTACACAGGCTTCGCCAACAAGCACGGCAGCAAACCCAGCAGCCTTGGGGTCAGCAATGGGGCGGAAAAGAAGAGCGGGTCCCCAACCCACCAGGCCAAGGTCAGCCTCCAGATGGCCACCAGTCCAAGCAATGGGAACATCCTCAATTCGGTGGCCATCCAGGCTCACCAGTACCTGGATGGCACCTGGTCCCTGTCGAGAACCAACGGGGTCACCCTGTACCCATACCAGGTAAGTAGCCTGTGTGAGCCAGGAAGAGCAGGGCTGGCTGGAGTCAAAGCGGAGAAGTAGGCAGCACTTCCTTCCGCTGCCTCCTCCCGGGAACCCTGTAACTCAGAGCCCAGTGTTTCCATGTGGCCCCCACAGAGTTCTCATCAAGGTGCCCCACCCGGGCCTGCCTGCTTTGAGAGGGTGTTGCTACATCTTCCAAACTTTCCACACCTGCCCTTTCTCTGCTCTTCAGTGTCTCCTTCCTGAGAGACCCTCTTTGTGTAAGAGGTCCTTGCTGGTCCAGGTGATGCCAGCGACTTCCCAGCCAGCAGATTTACCACATGGCAGAGCCATGAAGAGGTAGGCCACACAGATACTTGGACTGGGGTCCAAGCCCCGACTTGTCCACTTATTAGCAGCGTGACTTGGCACAAGGGGTTTGCCCTGTCTTAGGCTCAAGTCCCTCATTTATAAATGGATGTGAGTCACGAGAATTAAATAAGGTAGTGTTTGCATGACATGTAGGCCAACACCTGCCATATAGTAGGGGATCATTGTTGTGCCTGTTAACAGAGATTTTAGATATTAAGTGAGAGTGAGATGAGTGAGATGCTTTTGAACCAAAGGATATTGTGAGTCCCAGGAATCACGGTTTTAAAGCAGCCTGTGGAAGTGCTGGACATTGCTGAGAATAAAATATACGAAGGAACAGTGATCCGTGTTGGCACTCTGCCTTCCCTGTCTATACCTTCCAAAAGAGGTGTAGATGCCCTTCTTAACCTCTCCTCCCTTGACAGACCCAAATTCTTTTCTATTTGCAACTCACCTTAAGAACTACTGGGATTGGGCTGCCAAAACTGTTTCTTCCTTTTCAGTTATTTAAATTAGAACATGCCCCCAAGTTTCTCCATAGAAATAAAACACAGGTCTTAAATCTCCCAGGGAATCTTTAAAGATGTTCTAATTTTGCCCGGGTGAGTTTTCTGTTGGATGAGGACTGGATTTTTAATGTAAGTGGCCTCCATATCCCCTGCATCAGGGGTGTGGGAAGCAGCAGAGAGCATTGACCGTCACTGGAATGGAGAGGCGGCCACGGTCAAGGGTGTATTACTCAGAGAAGATAGTTGGTACATACAGCAAATGATCCTGGAGACCTCAGGCTTTTTCTCACTTGGGTCTGTCATGGTGGGTGTTTGGTAGGTGGCCTTCTGCTGCGATGTGAGGACTCAGACTAGAGACCTCAGGTTATTTCTCACTTGGGTCTGTCATAGGGGGTGTTTGGTAGGTGGCCTTCCGCTGTGATGTGAGGACTCAGACTTCTTCCACCAAATGCGTCACCATCTTCCAGGGGCCTCAAGAGTCCTTCACCAGACCTTCTGTAACCAGCCAGGAAATGAGGGAAGATAGAGTGTGTGGAGGATCTCACAGGAGGATTTGGGGCCCAGCTTTGCATGGAAGTGATGTATGTTGCTTACATCTATATTCCAGTGACAAGAATCCAGTCTTTGCTGGGCGTGGTGGCTCACACTTGTAATCCCAGCACTGTGGGAGGCCGAGGTGGGTGGATTGCTTGAGTACAGGAGTTGAAGACCAGCCTGGGCATCCTGGCGAAAACCCGTCTCTATTAAAAAAAATACAAAAATTAGCCAAGTATGGTGGCATGCGCCTGTAGTGTCAGCTACTTGGGAGGCTGAAACGGGAAGATCGCCTGAGCCCAGGAGGCGGAGGCTGCAGTGAGCCGAGATTGCACCACTGCACTCCAGCAGCACTGCACTCCAGCCTGGTGACAGAGCAAGACTCTGAATTGGGAAAAAAGAAGAGTGAGAGAGAGAGAGAGAGAGAGAGAGAGAGACAGACAGACAGACAGACAGTTTAGTCTCTTGATCTCACCTTCCCACTGGTGAAGCTGGGGAAGCCAATCTACCCGTGAGCCCAGGAGAAAAAGGAACAAGTCGAGTGAACACATAGCATAGTTTTGTTACGCCGGACAAGATACAGGGAAACGTGGAGTGAGTTAAATGTGGTTGATAAAATGCCGGGTGACTTTCTCTAGAGCGTTTGAGAGTGTTCATGTCTCTTGCTATCTTGAAAGAAAGTGGGAAACGTTGATCATTATCCTAAGATATTAGCATTCTTGGACGGTCGAAATTTTCACTTAACTGGGTGCTTTCTAATTTACAAAATCTAACATATGGATTATTTCCTTTAACCCCACAGTAGGCCTATGAGGTAGGTGGGGCAGGTGTTAGATCTTCCTTTTACAGTTAAGGAATATGATGCTTAGAGAAATGGACTGATTGTGGCCACACAGCCAGTGGCAGAACCAGCACCAGCTCTCCCCTTGCCCAGGGAATGGCTTTGCCTACCGCGGTTTCTTCCAACTTTCCTAGGCTACCCCAAAGTAAGCTGCCGACATCTTTTCCAGATATGGTTCCTTTTCAGACCTGGTGTCACAAAGAAAAGAACTCGTTTTACCTGCAGGGGCCTCACTGCCCCTAGACTTTTGGATAGAATCTTCTGGGATGTGTATATAAATATAATGAGGAACCAGTGGCGTCCTGTGCAGTGCTTCACATTCTAACCTTGGAAGTAACCTTCTAGGGCAGGAACAGAGAAGGGCTTCTTTGCATCATGGGATAATTTGCTTTTTTTTGTTTGCAGTTTTAAAATATACCATTTAGAAAATTATCAAAAGTAACATATTTGTTGTAAAATAAAATTTAAAATACATGAGGAAGTTTAAATGAGACTTTAAAAGTCGATGTCACCCGGATATAAACTATGTAACATTTGGGGATACTTCCTCCTAGCATTTCATACACTCGCAATTTGTAAAATTGTGACCAGGTTCAATTCTGTGACCTGCAGTTCACTTAATACATTGGGTACATTTCCCCATGCCACTATATGTTTCCCTAAAATATTATCTTTAGCAGTAACATATTTCATTATATGAATATTTTCCACGCTATGGAGATGTCCTCATTTATTAGGTTGGTGCAAAAGTCATTGCGGTTTTTGTCATTACTTTCAATGGCAAAAACCGCAATGACTTTTGCACCCACCTAATATATAACCAAACATCAATTAATTAGAATTTAGGTCTTTGCTACTATAAATACAATGCTCAGGTGAACATCCTTTTACCCAGGCCATAGTTTCAACACATGCCTGGCTTGTGTGAGCCACATACTTGTGTTACACAGACAACTCACATTTCACCTTCCAGGACTCCGAAGCTCTTGTCACACGTGGCAGGGGCCGGTTAGAAGACTCGGCGGCTGCGCCAGCGCTGATGAGCGAGGACAGAGGAGCATGAAACTGGTGCTTTCCTGTAAAATATTCAAAGTGAGGTGAAAGTTTGTGTGTAAGTCGGAAACACTGAAGATGCTGCTTAAACGGCCGATTAGGGATTATTTGTGCGTTTCTTTTATTTGTGCAATGATTCTGTTCTTCCTCTTACTTCCCAAACTCAGATGAAAGAGAATTTACTGTACAAGTATTTATTAATCTCTAACCAAGTACCAGGCACTGTGCTAGGTGGTGGGTGGGGCCGCAGCCTTGGGCTGGAAACCCTGGTTCCTGTCCTGAGGTCCTTGCAGTGGGACAGAAGGCAGGTGAGTGCAGAGGTGAAGAGATGCCGCGGTGCTTTGGGGGCATGCAGACAGGCTCCTAATCCCGCCCGATGTGGCAAAGCCAGATACAACCAAGATTCACACAAGCCACCAACTTGTGGTCATCCTGGGTATGTTCTGTTGCTTCTTTCCAACTCCAGAACAGACCAATTCATGCATTTCCCCTCAGTAATGAAGGGACCAGAGGAAATCTCTCTGGGATAAAGAGATTTGGTGCCTGGCTATGAATCTGCGTCCCCTGTGTTGTGACTGTGTCGTCCTGATGCCCTGGGGTGGGGGCTCTGGGTCTGGCCAGACTGAGTGTCTCCTGTTGCGGACATCTCCCTGCAGTACATATTGTACAGTTCGCAGTCTAGCCAGCTCGTCAGAGACGGTTGACTGCTCTGAAAGCTGACCTCATTTTTCCTGCTTACCCATACTCCCACTTCCCTCCCCACAGAGCAGATGGCCTCTGGATCAGTGCCAGAGCCATTCCCCGGGCAGAGAAGCATCTAGACCTTGTCACTACCAAGGGTGCGGCTCCACACCCGCGGGACCCGAGCCTCTAGAAATGAGGGAGAAGACGACTCTGCCTTTCTGCAATTTAGACGTCGCAAGGATGAAAACGATGCGGACAGGCTTTCCAGCAGTGAGCCTGGGGAAATCTGCGTCACATGGGCGACAGAAGGTCCCTCGAATCCCTCAATCCCCGTGGCCCGCACCACTGTGTAATAATCTCCAAAGGTTGCAGTAGGAAGATTCTTGATTCTCGTTTGCTATATCCTTCACATTTCTAAAGTACCTCCAGAAAGACCAGGAACCTGTAAGCATCACAGATAAATAGGAATCGATCCAGAGAGATTTTAAAAAGAGTAATTTAGGAAGTACTAAGATGACATCAAAAATGTTGAACAAACCACAAAGATAATTCTCATTAAATATCTTAGAAAATTGATTTAATAGGAGATTATAAGACGGGCTTTCAAAGAAAGACTTTCTTCTGTTCATCTGCAGACATTTAGCACAATCTATACACACACAGAGAAAGCAGAAAATTCTCTAGCGCAGGGGTCCCCAGACCCCAGGCCACAGATTGATACCACTCTGTGGCCTGTTAAGGAGCCAGCCGCAGAGCAGGAGGTGACTGGCGGGTGGGTGGGCATTACCTCCTGAGCTCCATCCCCTGTCAGAGCAGCAGTGCCATTAGGTTCTCCTAGGAGCAGAAACCCTACTGTGAACTGTGCATGTGAGGGATCTAGGTTGCATGCTCCTTATGAGAATCTAATGCCTGATGATCTGAGGTGGAGCAGTTTCATCCCATCTCCGCGCCCTATTTGTCTGCCATGAAGCTGGTCCCTGGTGCCAAAAAGGTTGGGAATCACTGCTCTAGAATCTTCATCTTTTTTCTTCCAACTTTTATTTCTGGTTTGGGGGTACACGTGCAGGTTTGTTATGTGGGTAAATTGTGTGTCACTGGGGTTTGATGTACAAATGATTTTGTCACCCAGGTAGTGAGCATAGTACCCAAAAGGTGGTTTTCCGATCCTCACCCTCCTCCCACCCTCCACCCCCAAGTAGGCCCAGTGTCTATTGTTCCTCGTCTTTGTAGCCATGTGTTACAGCCTTCATTTGACCACATGAAATTGTGACTTTGAAAGGATGTGTCTAGATTAGTTCCTTGTAATCAACTACAGATTAGTTACCTCTTTTTGAATGGCAGCTGCTTTTGCCTGATTAACATTTATTATAGTCAATAACTGCAGGAAAGACTGTACACATAACACACGGAGTTATAGGATGTTGGTGATGTTGGTGTTGGAATGCACCTGTGTAGGATGGTAACTGTCTTTTGCATCATGGTAGGAGATTTGGAGACAGAGTCTTACCTAGTTCAAGCCTGTGGTCCCACCAACTATTAAACCAGTTTAGTAGCTTGACATCTTAGTCTATTTCCTCACCTATGAAATTCCTACCTCATGGGGTGATTATAGGGAACAATTAAGAAGAAGGCGTGAAAATATTTTATGAACTATAAAGCAGGAATACCGGTATAAATTATCTATTTCAACCTTTTCATTTACCAGAGGAGAAACCTGAGGCTGAGAGATTTGAAGCTTCTTTTGTTCAGAGTTTTCTAAATCCTAGTTTGATCTCTTTTGCTAAATCACACACTCTTGGACAACAGGGACTCATTTTATTCTCACATCCCTCACAGCAGCTAACGTGAAAATGTTGTTCTTTATTAGAGACAGCTCCTATCTCAGGGATGCACTACAATTACTTTCCATGACTGGCCCTAGTTTAGGAAAGAATTCCAGGCCAAAGACCTATCTAGAACCCAAGGATTTAGGTGGAAACCACCAGGTATTTGATTCCAAGCTAATCTTTAACCTGAAGTGTCTTAATCATACTTAATAAATCCTTAGATGCAGTGGAAAGAACCTCGCTGGCATTTCGATGCCACACTCAATACAGGGGCATTTGAAAGGATAGAAGAGCTTTATTTCATAGGATTTCACTCGATTGAACTTGTCAAGAAAATTCAGAAGATGTTAGCTTAATCTACAAGTAATAAATCCATAGTGGACCGTTGATGCAATGAAGGTCGTCCATGTGCATTCCTTGAGTTGCAGGAAAATGCTCTTGATACAATTTTTCCTGCTTTCTCTAAAAACATGCATTGGAATGAATGTGAGAGGTAATGCTGGACTGAACACTGGCCGAAGTCATTATGAGGTAGTCTCTATTACAGCTTTAGAAATGATTGCGCCTATGAAGCACAGCCATTACTGGACTTTACATTTTAAGATATGAGCACAGTCTGGGCACGGTGGCTCATGCCTGTAATTTCAGCACTTTGGGAGGCCAAGGTGAGAACTGCTTGAGGCCAGGAGTTAGAGACCAGCCTAGGCAACAGAGTAAAACCCCTTCTCTACACAGAAATAAAAAATCAGCCAGGCGTGGTGGCATGCCTGTAGTCCCAGCTACTCAGGAGGGTGAGGCGAGAGGGTTCCTTGAGCCCAGGAGTTCCAGGCTGCAGGAAGATGTGATTGTACCACTGCCTGTAACCTGGGTGACAGAGACCCGAGAACCTATCTCAAAAAAAAAAAAAAAAAAAAAAAAAAAAAAAAAAAATATATATATATATATATATATATATATATATATATATATATATGGGCACAAAAGGATGTAAAAGCAACACCAACCTCAACATATATCAAGGTTTGCTAAATGACAGGACCTCTGCGGTGCATAACACTTGCTCCTCCGAGATCAGAAGCCCTGGGGGATCTTGGTGCTAGAGGACTTCCAAGCGCCCCTGCAGGAGGAAGGTGAGGCTCTGGGAGGCCCACCAAGTGCTGTTGTACTCAGAGGCTTTGCCGATTGTGGCTTCGTGGAAAGCAGAAGCGTGTGTTCTAGTATGGCTGATGTCGGGAGATGAGGTATACACGTGCTCTTCCCGGCCGAACCACTTTTCAAGAAGGAACAGGGGTGGGTGTTTCCAGCAGGTCAGGAGTATAGGATTTTCATCCACGTTCTTCGCAGCTCTTGAGGGCTCATCCAGCCACTTGTGCCCTGAAATATGCAGCACACCCCTTCTTGGGCCAGCACTGGGGTCACCTGCTTCCCACTTGCTGCTGTGTCTACCCAGTCAGGCAATAGTGTAAGATGCCACGATTAGACCAATTATGACGTGGAAGAGATTCTTAAGACCATGGGTTTTGTTTTCTCCTGTTTATAGGCGGTCAAAGGGATATTAGGTTATGTATCTTTATGCTTTTTGACAAATTATGAACATGGAAAAAAGAATCAATTTGTATATTCGGTCATGGACACACATTTCTCAAGGCTAGAGTGTTCAGGGTGAAATTCCAAAAGGGTAGTCACAGCTTATGAATATGGATGGGGCCGTGGTCTGAAGGGAACACCCAGACTTCACTAGGAAACTTCAAAAATACGTTCAATCTGGGCGTTTGCTTGGTGTGGTAGACTGAATAGGGGCCCCCCAACGATGCCCACACCCTAATCCCCGCAATCTGTGGATGTGTTACCTTACATGGTAAAAGGGCCTCAGCAGATGTGATTAAGCCAAGGATCTTGAGATGGGGGATCATTTAATTTAATTTTATTATTATTTTTTGAGACGGCGTCTCACTCTGCCACCCAGGCTGGAGTGCAATGGTGCGAGCTTGGCTCACTGCAACCTCCACCTCCCAGGTTCAAGCGATTCTCCTGCCTCAACCTCGGGATTACAGGCATGGACCACCATGTCCGGCTAATTTTTGTATTTTTAGTAGAGATGAGGTTTCACCATGTTGTCCAGGCTGGTCTCAAACTCCTGACCTCAGGTGATCTGCCTGCCTCAGCCTCCCAAAGTGCTGGGATTACAGGTATGAACCACCACATCCGGCCAAGGAGATCATTTTAGACTATCTGGGTGGACTCAATGTAATTACAAGGATCCTTAAAGAGGAAGGCAGGAGGATCAGAACCAGAGAGAGGAGGTGGAAGGACAGAAGCAGAGGTCAGAGAGGAGAGAGATACAAATCTGTTGGCTTTGATGATGGAAGAAGGAACCTCTAGAAGCTGAGGACGGCAAGGGTGTGATTCTCCCCTAGAGCCTCCAGAAGAAGCCAGCCCTGCAGGGCCATTTTTGAGTTCTGGTCTCCAGAACTTTAAGAGGGTAAGTTTTTGTTGTTTGAAGCTGCTAAATGTGTGCTATTTTGCTTCAGCAGCAATAGGAAGCTATTACAACTGGTGAGCCTTCTGTTAACTGAAAAGCTTGGTAAGGAGAAGCGGGATGGGGTCTACAGACCAAGGAGTCCCTGCAGAAACCTGCAGGACAGCAAGAACGTGGGCTTTTCATCTCACACAACAAACCCCGTTACCCTGCGGATCGGCCGGTCCATGCACAAGTCAGATTCTTTCATCTGGGTGCCACCACAGAATGAGAGGTTACTCATACTGCACCGCTGGTTTGCGATTGTCTCAGATTTCCCTATTGTTATAGAATCATAATAAGTAGCACACCACAGCGACTCTCCATTGGTAGCTAGTCATTACAATTATGTAAGTCTCATACTGTTGAAACTGCAGAAATCATTCCAAGCTGGGGGTGGGAGGGATGGAAGGAACGGGAGGGGAAGGAGAGACTTCACTGAATTTCATGTAGAAGGAAGTTCATCTTTGCTAGAGGCCTTTTGATCTGATAGAAGGAGATCTCACAGAACTGCCCCAGCAATAATTCTTACCTCATCTGGTAAAGATCTTCATAATGCATGCACTTGAATGCACTTTGGACGTTGTAGAGCAGCATGTGAGTGTTTGCTGGTATCACGTTTTATCTGGTAGGCAGGACACAGTCAATGGGGATTCCGGAGCAGGGGAATGGGAAGATTTCTTTGCCTGAAAGCAGGAATTCTCAATTTTGGCTTCACACTAGAATTACTTGGGAGATTAAAAAAAAAAATCCTAATGCCTAAGCCACACCCCAGGCGAATTAAATGAGAATATCTGCAGGTGGGACCCAGGCCTTGGTTTGAACTTGGCCAAGTCCAAGAACCACAGTGTTAAGGAAGAATTTATCTGGCACTGGCGTAATAGGTACAGGGAAGAGAACAATGAATGTGTGTGGATAGATGAGTGATAGGCTGAGAGACAGGTGTTTGTTTCTTATGGCTGCCATCACAATTTACTACTAACTATGTGGCTTTATTTTTTATTTTTTATTTATTTTTTTTTGAGACTGAGTCTTGCTCTATCACCCAGGCTGGAGTGCAGCGGCACAATCTTGGCTCACTCCAACCTCCGCCTCCTAGGTTGAAGTGATTCTCCTGCCTCAGCCTCCTGAGTAGCTGGGATTACAGGTGCCCACCACCACACCCAGCTAATTTTTGTACTTTTAGTAGAGACAGGGTTTCACCATGTTGGCCAGGATGGTCTCGAACTCCTGACCTCAGGTGATCTGCCTGCCTCAGCCTCCCAAAGTGCTGGGATTACAGGCGTGAGCCACTGTGCCTGGCTCACTGCAACCTCTGCCTCCTGGGTTCAAGTGATGCTCATGCCTCAGCCTCCTGAGTAGCTGAGATTACAGGCACGCATCACCACGCCTGGCTAATTTTTGTACTTTTAGTAGAGACAGGGTTTCACCATGTTGGTCAGGCTGGTCTTGAACTCCTGACCTCAGGTGACCCACCCGCCTCAGCCTCCCAAAGTGCTGGAATTACAGGCGTGAGCCACCGCCCCCAGCCTGTGGCTTTAAAAGCAACAAAAATGTATTCTCATAGTTCTGGAGACTGCAAGTCTGAAATCAAGGTGTCGGCCGTGCTGTGCTTCCTCTGAAGGCCCCAGGGAAGAGTCCTTCCTCGCCCTTCTGTTGGCTCCAGGTATTCCTTGGCTTCTGATGCATCCCTCCAATCTCTGCCTTGGGTCTCGCTGTGTCCTCTTCTTTTCTATAAGGACAAAAGCCATTGGGTTTAGAGTCTACCCCAATCCAGTAGGATCTCATCTCAATCCTTAACTACTATATGGGTGCAAAAGCAATTGTGGGTTTTGCCATTAAAAATCATAGCAATTTCTGCAATTACTTTTGCACCTATCTAATAATTACATCTTCAAAGACCCTATTTCCAAATAAGGTCACATTCTAAATAGATAGACAGACAGACAGACAGATAACTAGCTAGCTAGATAAGATAGATAAATAAAAAGAAGAAAAGTGAAGTTGCAGAGGTAAAAGGTACATGCGGGCTCTTTCCTTGCTGAACCACTTCTGAAGAAGGAGCAGGTGCAGCATCCACGGCTGGTCAGCAGTGGAGGATTCTCATTCATGTTCTTTGCTTGGAGGAAAAAAAAGGAACAAGTGGAAAAGATGAAAACGGGCCAAGTCGAGAGAGGGAGGGACGTGTCATACCTGCATGCATCCTTATACTGGAGGGGAGCCTCTCAAGAGCCAGACAAAATGAAAAAATGCTCAGGGACAAAGTCAACGATCAACCTGTATGCGTGGGTTTTTCATAGAATAACAGCCTCCTCTTCTGAACTTACAGAATACCTTGTAAGTCATTTGTGCTTTCACAGCCACAGACATAAATGTAAACAGCACCTCTTGGGCCACCACCTGAGAGTAGATAAATTTAAGTTGCGAGCCTAATCAGACTGCTGCTGGGGGAGCCTTGTTCCTTCTCTACCGATCAAGCTGATAATTTGGTCTGTATTTTTTGTTTTTATCTTTAGTAACATTTCTAGGCTCTAAAAGGAGGCTAGAAACAGCAGGTAAGATGCTGTGTGCCTTCAAGGGGAATTTCTTAGTTACTAGTAATAGTTACTTACCATCCCTCCCCCTTTTTGATGTGGGTGAGAGGGGTTAGGTGGGGAGGTGGGGGGTGGTGGGAATGTGGCTATTATCACCCAAGCAAGGGAGGAGTTATTTTCCCCTCCCAGGCAAAGCTTGGGTTGGGGGCAGAGCTGAGCATCCCTGCACAGGGGGTGAAACAGGTGGGAGAGAAGATTGCCTAGATGTAGATGCTTTTCACAGTCGTCTTGTGTGTTAGAGGTCTGCCCACATCCTGTCTCACTCAGCCACCCTCCCCAGACCTTGTTCCCTCAGGCTGAATTTTCACTTTCCTATGGGTTGAAGAAAAGAGCCAGGGAGTATGCAGGCTCCATGGTGAGCAGGCCAAGGGGGAAACAACAGCTACTGCTTTTTTTCATTTTAATGACAAAGAAAACAGATCGTTTTAGAAAGTCTGAGGCTGATACTCATCAATGATTTTATCCAAATCTCACACAATGAGAGGTTGGGGTCATGCTGGATTTGCTGCTCATGCACCAGAAATAAAACACCAGGTTCCTTGCTGACTGTGTGACCTCAAGCGGGCTTCTTAACTGCTATGTGCCTGAATTTCCTCCTCTGCAGAGTGGAAACTTCCAGAGCTGTTGTTGGGATCATGTGAGAGGGCGTGTTTTGCATACTTAGTGCTGTGTGTGACACATGGCGACTTCTCCGTGAAGTTGACTGAACCTTGAGCGCCATTTTCTTTTACTCAACTCAAGTTCATGTGACTCAAGTTAAATGGAATCAGGACCCTCTTTTCCATTGTAAGAGCCAGTGGCAGATGAAAAGACATCAATCACCAATTTCATAAAGTGAATATCAAGCACATAAAATAAATGTTATCCTGCAAATCTGAAAACATTCCCTCCTTGACATATTGCCAAAAAATCAACTTTCCATATGTACATCACATCTCGTGTGAGAATGTCATATTTTAAGTAGATGTGATCTCATTTTATCATTAGTGAATTAATAAAATACTGAAAGGCTCATTGACCAGTTTTCCCCCATATTTGGGGATCTTTCTAAGGGAGGAGGGAAAGCAGCAAATAGATTCGAATCATTTAAAATTTTACAGCGTAGTGGACAGGTCACATTTAAAATAACCCAAACAAGTCAAACGTTATTATTTTGGAATTCATTTGAAATATCAAGCAATTCAGGCCTAGTTTATGATTTTTTTTTTTTTTTGGTTTGTGATTCTTACCGAACTCTTTGAAACACAGGACTCAGCCCTTTCATTCTTGGTTTCCTTATCTATATGCTTATGGTATATTATTAATATGTTTGCTTTCCTATTCTTTTATGTATTTATAAAATATAAACCTTTCTTTTAAAATTATTATATAATTTGCAAGTTTCGATAAATTGGAAAATTGAAATGTCCTCGGCTGGTCGCGGTGGCTCATGCCTGTAATCCCAGCACTTTGGGAGGCCGAGACAGGTGGACCACCTGAGGTCAGGAGTTCAAGACCAGCCTGGCTAAGATGCTGAAACCCCGTCTCTACTAAAATCACAAAAATTAGCCAGGCATGGTGGCATGTGCCTGTAATCCCAGCTCCTCAGGAGGCTGAGGCAGGAGAATCGCTTGAACCCGGGCGGCAGAGGTTGCAGTGGGCCGAGATTGTGCCATTGCACTCCAGCCTGGGCGACAGAGCAAGACTCCGTCTCAAAAAAAAAAAAAAAAAGTCCTCACCTACCCCACCCCAGACATACACCTAATTCATTTCTAATTGAGATTTTACTGTGCTAACAGTCTTTAGTGTGATGAATTAGCATGCCTTTATCTTATAGAGGTATTTGTGAGGATTAGTTAATGAGTCATATATTTCATATGCTTAAGTCACTCCGAGGGAGTCATTTAGGTGTTTAGAAGCATATTAGTCACTAATTTTGGGACTCTGGAGACTTAGTCCATTTCTGCAGCACCACTGGCCCCGAGGAGTTAACATATCCCTCCATTGCTCATCTGAGAGCCTGGGCAATGACTTGAGACACTGGGGAGAAAAAAAGATTCCATATGAAAAGCAAAGACAGCAGCAGCCATGTCTATATTCAAGGCTGTGGCTGGGAGTTGTCTAATTAGATGACTCATCTGAGCCAGCCTGATGGTTTCCATCACCTTCACTAGGCTGCTCCCCACCGTCCATTAGGCTGCAAGGCGCTGCGTCGCCAGGGAGGTTGACCCCACCTGCTTGTTCATGACGTGCTCCCTTTTGGTTCAAGCAACAGACATGGTTGGAAGCAAGACTAGAAGGCAGCCCTCAAGAATTACAAATGACAAAACTGAGGCCCAGGCCTGTCAGGCGACCTGTGCCAGGTCACACGGCTAGGAAGTGACAGCGATGGGAGTCAAACACAGGTCTCCCATGCATTTACCCCTGCCCCTGCCCCAGCCCCTCTCTGGAGGGAAGGGGACCGATTCCTCAGATAGGTCAGATTTGCAGGCCTCCTGGGGAGGGTTACCCACCGCACACACTCCTGACGTGATTTCTTTGGGGGCAATTTGGGGTGCCTAGGATTTCCAAGCCAGGTTTCTCATCTTATTCCTCTGCATAGCAGTTTAGAACTCAATGCGCTGTATTGTATCTCCTCCCTGGGAGGTGGGGAGGTTGGTGGGGTTAAAACCGAAAGACACTGATGGGCCAAAAAGATGAAAAAAAAAAAAAAAAAAAAGGCTGTGTGGGCAATGCTGCCATCTAGTGAGACATACTTTAGCCAACCTAAGAAGCTGAGTGGTCCTGGTAGAATCCCACCGTAAAGTATTTCGATGTCCTAAGCTTCATCAAAGGAGACAGGGCCATCTCCCTGTCAGTAGCGTGGTCTTTAACACAGTAGTGAAGGGTTAAATTCAGTGTCCTAACATCTGTCCTTCAGAAAGGACCCGTGGCCTGAACAGATCTTCTGTGAGAATGGAGCTTGGTTTTGGCCTGGTAGAAAGACCACACAGATCTGCATGTGAGTGCTGGCTCACCTGCTTAGTAGCTGAGGAATGTTTGTTGTTGTTGTTTTAATTGTGGTAAAATATGCCTCATACAAAAAATGTGTCATCTGAATCATTTTTAAGTGTACAGTTCATCAAGCTTGTCCAACCCGCAGCCTGCAGTCTACATGAGGCCCAGGATGGCTTTGAACGCAGCCCAACACGAGTTCGTAAATTTTCTTAAAACATTGCGAGATTTTTTTGGTGTTTTCTTTTTGTTTTTTAACTCATCAGCTATCATTAGTGTCAGTGTTTTTTAAGTGTGGCCTAAGACAGTTCTTCTTCTTCCAATGTGGCCCAGGGAAGCCGAAAGATTGGACACCCCTGACTCTTCCATGGCATTAGGTACATTGACATGATGTGCAGCCATCACCACCATCCATCCACCTCCAGAATACTCTGCATCTCCCCAAACTGCAACTCCACACCCTTTCAACACTCACTGCCCATTCTCCCTCCCACCAGCCCCTGGCAAACACCATTCCACTTTGTTTCCGTGAATCTGACTGCTCTATGTACCTCATATAAGTGGGATCACACAGAACTTCTTCTCTGGTTAATGGTCTGTTGCACTTGGCATAATGTCCTCAAGTTTCATCCGTATTGTGTCATATGTCAGAATTTCCTTCCTTTTAAGGGCTGAGTAGTATGCTGCTGTATGTATATACCACATTTTGTTTATCCATTAATGTATCAACATTGAGTTGCTTCCATCTCTTGGTTCTTGTGAATAATTCTGCTGTGAACATGGGTATACACATGTTTCTTTGAAACCTTGCTCTCAATTCTTTTGGATATATCCAGAAGTAGAACGGCTGGGTCAAATGGTGGTTCTGTTTTTAATTTGTTGGGGAGCCACCATACTGTTTTCCATAGTAGCGGCCCCATTTTACACTCCCACAAGAGTGCATACGGGTTCCAATTTCTCCATACCCTCCCCAGTACCTTTTTCCTCTTCACAGTAGCCATCCTAATGGGTGTGAGGTGGCATCTCATTGTGGTGTGGATCTGCGTTTCCCTCATCATGAGTGATGTTGAGCATCTTTTCATGTCTCTTGGCCATTGGTAAGCTGAGTAATATTTGGTAAATTACTTGACCACTCAAAGCCTCAATTTCCTCTTCCATAGAATGGGGATAGTATCTATCCCCTAGTATAGCATCTATGGCCTAAGATTGCTGTGAAGATTAAGTTCATTATTCTAAAAGAAATAAATTGTTTTTGGTTCTGTACACTGTTCTAAGCACAGGTTTGTGTGTGTGTGTGTGTGTGTTTTGTTTCTTGTTTTGTTTTGTTTTGTTTTTGAGGCAGAGTTTCATTCTTGTTGCCCAGGCTGCAGTGCAATGGCACAATCTCAGCTCATCACAATCTCCGCCTCCTGGGTTCAAGCGATTCTCCTGCCTCAGCCTCCCGAGTAGCTGAGATTACAGGCATGCACCACCACGCCCGGCTAATTTTGTATTTTTAGTACAGACGGGGTTTCTCCATGTTGGTCAGGCTGGTCTTGAACTCCCGACCTCAGGTGATCCACCCTCCTCGGCCTCCCAAAGTGCTGGGATTACAGGTGTGAGCCACCACTCCTGGCTAGCACTGGTTTTAAATTATATATGTATATTCTATATTGTATATATATAAATTATTTTTATGTGTGTCACAATTTTACTAAATATATACTTACATGTATTTATATATAAATTATTTTTAGTGAATATATATTTTATATATATACACACACACACATATATATATATGTATATGTATATATATATATACAGAGAGAGAGAGAGAGAGGCAAACTCTGACCTGAGAAGCTCTATAAAGTCAACCCACACAGATTACTCACAGAGCATGGCTCTCTGCTTATTGCAGCCCGAAGGCAACACATTTAAAGGTGAGGCAGACATACCTAAAATAATTAACATGCCCCTGAAAAACAGCAGTGGAATTGGTGAATTTAGAAAACCGAGGCATCCCTCACGTCTGAACACGGTATCCCTGAAAAATAGCGGTGGAATTGGTGAATTTAGAAAACCGAGGCATCCCTCACGTCTGAACACGGTATCCGTGTGTTTTTAGCAGTAATCTCATGATGAATATCCTGAACACAGCCTTCGTGCAGGGTCCACTCTCCAGCTTAGAGATTCATTCCCAGCCTACTTCAAAGGCAGCTGAGACTGTGTATTGGAGTTTCTGTTCAAGACAACGGTGTCTTGTTTTCCTCTAAAGACAGATTGTACTTTCTCATGTAAATAGCCTTTTTGATAGAATGCAGGTGCTTCCAGGGATTAACTGCTGCTATTAGGCTAGGTGGCCCACTCTCTCCACCCTGTTCAAACAGCCAGTGCTTCATCATAGTTTATGTAACTGGCAACTTAGAAGCAGCAGCCTCTTTGATGAGTCCATTAGGAGGTAGGAGAAGGATTGGTAGCAGAGAAATGAAAGTTCTTGCACACAAATAATGAGTAGAAAGGATGAACGGTGGTTGCTGGTGCTTTCTGAACAAAATGAGGGCAAGGGGTGCTGTCCACTAATAAGTGTCATTTAGAGGCTTTATTCTTCTAGAAAAAGGGCTGCCCATCTGCTCTCCACTGAGAAGGTGATTTGCCGACTGTTCCTGAACGTGTGCCTGGGTTGCTAAAACTTGCGGAACGTGTATCAGCTGTTGAAATGGCCTTTCCTTTGGGAAAACTGTGCAGACAGCAAAGAGAGTACAAAACACGAAAATCTTAATTCCATTCCCTCTTCTGCCACTTTCAGTATGACCTCGGGCAGGTTTTCTACCTGCACAGAGAAAAACTGAAGTCGCACGCTGCTCTTGGTTTTCTCAGCCTGGAGCAGATGCCTTTGAGCAGCTACCACTTCCCGTTCCCCTGACAGTGTGCTCCGGCTTTACGAGGCTGTTTTTCTCTCCACAGTCACCAAGTCCACTGTCTCTCCACAGTCACCAAGTCCACTGTCTCTCTCCACTTTGGGGGCCATCTGTGAATATCACTAACTTAGCATTACAGTACCAAAAATAATAATTATAGCTACCACTTGTGTACTTACTATATGCCAGGCACTGTGCTGAGGGCTTTGTGTGTCTTAATGCATTCAAGCTTCATAACATTCCTATGAAGTAAATTATTCCCATTTTAATTAGTTAGTTAATTAATTCATCAAGACAGGATCTCTTTCTGTTGCCCAGCTGGATACTGTGGTGTGATGACAGCTCATCGCAGTCTCAAACTCCTGGGCTCAAGTGGTCCTCCCACTTTGACCTCCCACAGTGCTGGATTACAAGCATGAACCGCCATGCCTGGCCCATTCTCATTTTAAAGATAAGGAAAATGAGGTACAAGTTGATAGAAACAGACAGTACCTCACCACCTGCATGGAGGAATCACGTATTTATGGAGTCCTGAACATTTAATCAACAACTGTTTTATTGAGCATTTAGTTTGTTATTGGTTGAAATTAAGAAGACTGGTAAATACCATGAATTAATAAAAAGTTTTATGTTAATAGTAAACTTGTTTAGGAAATCTGGTTTTGTCTGACTTGAAATATTAAGGAAATATGTGTAGGTTTAGGTAAGAATATATATTTGGTTTAGGACTGTTCATATTAAGTTACATAGTCCTCAGCCTTAATTCACCTCACATCTCCCCATACATCTTATGTCTTTTTCTTTCTTCTTTTTGCTATTAAATTACAGCATCACCTCTTGATCACTCTAAGACCTAATCATCTAGCTTGTAAATTATTCATACTTTTCCCCCTCACCTCACTCCTCTCTTTTGGATTTTATCCATTTATCTGCATCTCTGAGAATAGGTGGGCAACAGAAATAAAAGGATTCAGTGAAAATAAGTTCATTCTGTCATTTATTAGCAACTTACACAACAGGTTTGGCAGAAAAGAAAATGGGAACTAAAATAGAGTAATTAAAAAGAAAGTCACTTATTTAAACATTGCATATCTTGCTACCTCTTCTAAGTAGAAATTAATTAGCTCCTAACAGCTAACTAATAGACTAAGTGGAAAATAGACCAGTGCAACATTTGGGGTTAATTGGTACAAATATATTGATTACAGTAACTAGTCATTAAATGTTTTATAAGGTATATATGCTATTAGTATAATCTCTGTATGGACATCATCTACTGAGTGCATGGATGCCGTAAACACATCATGCTTAGAACCAGGCGTTTGAACGCTGTCTGGAGTACTTTTACATTGTAGTACCCTGAATGTACATGCCTGTTTGTTATCACTGGGAGGGCAGCTCAGGACAGGATTATAAAGAGATGGAAAGAGGAGCAAACCTGGGGCGGCGTGGAGCTGTCATGAGAATGGTATTTTCGGGAGCTGGGGAAGAGGCAGAGAAGGAAGGGAAAACATTTAAAGAGGGCAAAACATGGACTTCATCCGTTAGCTCTACAGACACGGCCCTTGGTAGTTAGGCGACGTGAAGCCACGTGTACTCAGGCAGGTAGTGGGGAAGGCTGCTTCTCCAACAGATGGAGACAGGGAGGTTGGCAGACCGCTGGCTTAGGAGGAAGACAGCAGCAGAAGGGTTGCGTGTGTGAAGGCAGGGTCACAGATATTTAGAACGAAGCCCAAAGTCCTTGGAGATTGGTTGGATGTGGGAAAAGAGAGAGGATGGTGAGGCTGAGACTCTGGTTTCTGTGCCAGGTGTTGCATGGACGGTGAGCTATTAACCGGTGCAGAGAAAGCCGAAAGAGTAAGGCTGAGCCATCTGAGGTCAGGAGTTCAAGACCACCCTGGCCAACATGGTGAAACCCCATCTCTACTAAAAATACAAAAATTAGCCAGGCATCGTGGCACACACCTGTAATCCCAGCTACTCAGGAGGCTGAGGCAGGACAATTGCTTGAACCTGGGAGGCGAAGGTTGCAGTGAGTTGAGATTGTGCCATTGCACTCCAGCCTGGGCAACAGAGCAAGACTGTGTCTCAAAAAAAAGAAAGAAAAAGAAAAGTATCAGTTTAGCAATATTGAAATGTGCAGCACTCAATTATTAGCTGTATTCAGCCTGCTGTGTAATTGATCTAAAAAAAAAAAGACAGATTTATTCTTCCTATCTAACTGAGGCTTTGTACCTTTTGAGCCCAGTGACTCCGGTGCCTTGATGGGGGCCGGGGGCTATGACCCAGGCTTTGCTGAGCGATGAGGGAGCGTGCTACTTCTGGGGTCAGGGCTGGAGGGCTCCAGCTGCCCATCTGGGCTGCCACTATGGAGGAGAGCTAGACATTGACCACCCACCATACAGGATGTGTTTGCCTCCCCCTCACTCACACCCTGGTTGTGGCGTAGGTAAACACAGCAAGGCTCAGAGGGCTCCAGGAACCTGGCTTTAAGATTGCCATTAGCATCATTTCCTCCTTAAACAACCTCCTATTTACAGCTCTCCATCGATAAGATATGCAATGAACAACTTCATCAGGTTAAACTGCAGCAAATGTCACCACTTATTTTGTCACTCTCTGATCTTGGGGGGAGAAAAACAGTGCAGCATAAAATATTGAACTGTTTACTCAGTATTTAGTTCATTCAGTGTTTTCGGATGCCCGCTACGTGCCAGCGGGGAGTAAAGATGAGACAGGCTTAGTCCTTCTCTTGAGGGATCTCACCAAGTGCAGTGTTTGGTGACGCAGGTCACACTGGGGACATGCCATGGCAGGGGCACAGATATCAGCTGGGGGAGCAGAGATGAAGGCCAGATACGAATTCCCCTGCGCATCTGAAAGAATGCTTCATAGCTTTGAATTAGATGAACTGTTTATAGGAACGGTAATCCAGAAACAAGTACTAAATGTTGTATGGTAGGGTGTACTAGAGGCTGTATTATCTGACCTAGGTTTTTTTTTGTTTTTTGTTTTTTGTTTTTTGTTTTTTGAGATGGAGTTTCACTCTTGTCACCCAAGCTGGAGTGCAGTGGCGTGATCTCTGCTCGCTGCAACCTCTGCCTCCCCAGTTCAAGCGATTCTCCTGCCTCAGCCTCCCGAGTAGCTGGGACTACAGATGCCCATCACCCTACCTGGCAAATTTTTGTATTTTTATTAGAGATGCGGTTTTACCATGTTGGCCAGGCTGGTTTCAAACTCTAAGCTCAGGTGATCCACCTGCCTTGGCCTCCCAAAGTCCTGGGATTACAGGCATTAGCCACTATGCCCGGCTCCAATCTAACTCTTGATTCCTCCTTTATAACTATTCATCAGACTGAGCAACTTGGCAAGAACCTGACTATCAAAAACAAATTAGCCAGGCATGGTGGCACATGCCTGTGGTCCCAGTGCTTTGGGAGGCTGGGGCGGGAGGATCGCTTGAGCCTGCAGGTCTAGACTGCAGTGAGCTATGATCACGCCACTGCCCTCCAGCCTAAACAACAGAGTGAGACCCTATCTCAAAAAAACCCGCAACAAACTAAAAAAAATCCCCGATATTTCTGCTTCCCTAATATGCATGATACCAGCAGCAGACAGGGCTGCTTTGACACCTGCCCAAAGTGTAGCTGGACATCTATGTAGACTCATGGAGTTTGGGGAGAATAGGAAGGCGTCAAGGCTAAGTACAGGTCCCATCTCTCTCCCTCATCCACTTCCCCCAACCTCTGGTCATTCACCAAGAAACGTTCACAGTCCTGGGCTGCGTTTACTAACTTTGTTCTCATGCGTGCTTCTATTTTTGAGGCCAGAATAGGCCATTTTGAAACCTCTGGTTCCAGCCTTCCCCTTAGGAAAGTGAGCGGCAGAGTTGCGACCTCTCTCCCTGGTGGCTCATCTCTGGGAGACGAGCGCTGTCCTCAGAAGTGACGTGGAAGCTATCGTGACAGAGGTGTTTTGGGTCAGAAACTTTCCATTAGTATTTGGAGAAAATTGATCTCATTGGAGAAAGGACCATGATATGAACAAGTCAGGTTTTTTTTTTATCATAGTATTTTTTAAAAAACGTTCTAAGGAGAAGATTTACATGACCACTTTCTTTCTGACGGATACTTCTTCCTGGATGGAAGGAATAGGAAAAGTACATAAAATAGCTCACATGGAAAATATTTTTCCTTTGATGAAAAGTGAAACTAAAGTAGCACTTGCAGGATGCACTTTTAATTCCTGAAGCAAAAGCCGCTACTTGCAATGCTAAGTCACATTGACGTCCCAGTCCTGATTGGGCCAGATTTCCTCTTTCTTTCTCATCTTGTGTTAGCATTTAAAACTGCCAAGATAATGACTATGTTAATTAATCTGGCCCAGGATATTTTCCCCATAAACAGGAGTGTGACTGAGTAGGTCCCTCGTTCCTTCTACGTCTGCCTCCCGCCTTCCCTAGAGAGAAGTGAATCTAAGTCATGCTGGAAAGGTGGTGCCTAAACTGTACCTTAAGGGGGAAAGGGCTAACAGCCCTTCTCCCATAGCCCTTTCAGCACTGTGATCAATCTGACCCTTACACTCAATTTGTCTACAATTGTATCTCTATTAGCAATGCTGCTCTGAGTCTGTTGGGTGGAAGACATCCAATTGGTGGGTTGTTTCTGAACACTGGACCAGCCCAAGGACTATTTCAAGGAAAGTCAGGGTGAGATTTGAACTGTGCGCACCTTTGCCTGAAGCCAGTCTCCTGTAATTGACTCTGGGACAGTAAGCATTGCAGAAGACAGCAGCGTCCCTGATGTTGGAAGGAAGTCAGGCTTGCAGTAAAAGCTTATCCAGAGAAAGAATGTCATTCTCTCAATCTGTCTCTCCCTCTCTCTCTCTTGCCAGGAAAGTTCCGTTTTGTTAGCTCTAGTGCTTAATGATTTCAGGGTTCACACTGTGTCCACTCTCAAAAAAGCCCATTTTCTTTTTTTTGAGACAGAGTTTCACTCTTGTCACCTGGGCTGGAGTGCGATGGCATGGCCTCGGCTCACTGCAACCTCTACCTCCTGGGTTCAAGCAATTCTCCTGCCTCAGCCTCCTGAGTAGCTGGGATTACAGGCATGCACCATCATGCCCGGCTAATTTTGTATTTTTAGTAGAGACAGGGTTTCACCACATTGGCCAGGCTGGTCTTGAACTCCTGACCTCAGGTGATCCGCCCACCTCGGCCTCCCAAAGTGCTAGGATTACAGGCGTGAGCCACCACTCCTGGCCAAAAAAAAAAAGCCCATTTTCCATGTACACACACTCACATGTGCATGCAAGTATACAGTCTTCCTGGCAGAACTGGAATGAGTTAAATTTTGTCCATTTTTATTACTAGAATTGGCTAATAGGGATCCATAGCTTATAATGCATCAACATTAAAAATGAAATTATATTTTGAGGCTCACTGCATATAACCATGTTTACCCTCTGAAAAGATATTGTCCTCCCTTGAATATTTGACGCAGTAAATTATGTTTTGGAGGAATGCTTAAGTTACCTATGAAGTATCCATTTTTTTAAATGTTGGTTTTTTCTATTAGTTTTTAAATTAAATGGTACATGCGCATAATTTAAAGATCTAAGTCATTTGATAAGACTTGATATGAGAGACGCCAGCCCAACACTGTGAATGCAGTGAGGCCTTTCCTCCTTTCCCAAGGCTCATTAATATTCATCTCCCTATTTTAACATTCTTAGGTTGCTCCTTCTTGATTTACTTAGTTAAAGTTTCCTATTACAGCAGTTCTCAAAGTGTGCTCCACAGACCATCTGAGTCCCTAAGACCCTTTCACTGGGTTTATGAGATCGAAACTATTTTCATGTAATACTCCGACGCTATCTGCCTTTTTTACGGTGTTGACATTTGCTCTAATGGCGCAAAGGCAATGATGGATAAAACTGCTGGCTTCTCAGCATGAATCAAGGTGGTCACGCCAAGCTATGCTGGTCATGCTATTACTCATTGTCATATATTTGGATATTTGGAGGGTTTTTTTTTTTTTAAGAAGTACAGTGTTACTTGAGTTTATTTTATTTTATTTTTTATTTTTGAGACAGAGTCTCACTCTGTCGCCAGGCTGGAGTGCAGTGGTGCAGTCTCGGCTCACTGCAACCTCCGCCTCCCGGGTTCAAGTGATTCTCCTGCCTCATCCTCCTGAGTAGCTGTGACTACAGGTGCCCGCCACCATGCCTGGCTAATTTCTTTGTATTTTTGTAGACACGGGGTTTCACCATGTTGGCCAGGATGGTCTCGTGATCCACTGGCCTCAGCCTCCCAAAGTGCTAGGATTACAGGTGTGAGTCACTGCGCCCAGCCTACTTGAGTTTATTTGATGAGGCAGTGAAAATAATTTTATTGAATCAAAAAATGTATGTTGACATGTGAAGTACTTGGGTGGCATAGGATGGTCAGTTGCATTAGTTGCAAGCTCTACTAGCCTTTCCCCCTCTGCCAGTAGAATACATTTTTACTTGAAGGAATAACAAACCAACAAACTATGGTTATTGAGAAGTAGGTATTATGAAGACATTTTCTCAAAAGGAATGAAAGTTTGCCACTTAAAGGAAAATAACTAATGGTTATTTTCCTTTGGTTTGTTTATTAATCATAAAATTTTGGCCTAGCATGATGGTACATGCCTTTAGTCCAAACCATTTGGGAGGCTGAGGCAGGAGGATCACTCAAGTCTGGGGAAGTTCCAGACCAACCTGGGCAATATAACAAGACCCTGTCTCAAAAAAAAAAAAAAAAAAAAAAAAAAAAAAACCACCATAAAATTTTGAGCTTTCAATTAAAAGATAAAATTTTGAAAACTTGATTCTACTACCATGGGCTTGAAAGCTTTCCAATACTAAAATATTTTTCTGGTAAGATTTGTGGTGATATTAACAAATGTGATTTTTTGATACTATATTATGGAATGGGTCAACGTCTGGAAGATACAGATAACTCAGTAAACCAGTATTTTCCAAATGACCTTTGCATTATGTTACAAAATCTTGCAACATAAGATCCATACAAAGTACAAGGTAGCCTAATTGATTTTAGTACAATGTGATACCAAAAGTTTATTAATATATTTAATAGTTTCAGATTGCTCATTTCAGTGAAATTTTAAGAAACTACCACTTGTTGATTTTTAGTGTAGTTTCTAAGAACAGTGTACACAGTTATCTGAATACTCCTATTCAAATACTCCTCCATATTCCAACTACTTGTCTTTATGAGGCTGGGTTTTCTTTAGATATCTCAACGGAAACCACATATCCAGACATAAGCCACATAACCAAAATAATATAAGCAACTCATTAAAGAGATTTGTGGGCTGGGGATGGTGGCTCACACCTGTAATCCCAGCACTTTGGCAGGCCAATTTGGGAGGATCACTTGGGGCCAGGGGTTCACGGTCATGCCTTCCAAGATCATGCCACGGCACTCCAGCCTGAGTGACAAAGTAAGACCCTGACTCAAAAAAAAAAAAAAAAAAGAGAGAGATTTGTGAAAATGTAAAACAGCAATGCCACTTTTCTTACTAATTTTTTGTTTAGAAAATAATTACATTTCATACAATATTTATGCCAACATGTGATGGGTTTATTATTTTAAAATAAATAAATGCATCTATATTTTAAAGTTTTCATTTAATTTCTAGTATGGTGACTATCAATAGGTATATAGTGTATTTACGGTTGCTCTTATGCCAGAGCAACCAGTCCAGACTGGAGCAGATCAGGAGACCCTGGGAAAGAACTCTTCAGAAAGATGGAATGATTCTTATAACTCCTATGCTGGAACATTTCGAGAGCAGAGTTACAGAACAAGAAGGAGAGTTTTGGATGGAATTCCCAATAAATACATAGAAAACAAAGCAAATTGAAAAAAAAAAAAAGATAAAAAAATTGAACCATGAAGGAAGAGCTCTCTGGGGCTCTCCGTAATGTTTAAGATTATGAAGAGCTCCTGAAACGAAAGAGTTTGAGAATCACCGGCCTTCGGCGTAATTACGAAACATGAAGGGGTAGTTCTCTTTCGCCACCACCCACCCCAATCCTACGCCACAGAAATATTCACTTCTTGTCTTCCCATTGCCCTAACAATTTGTTATGATTTGGGTTGGATCAATATTCTATATTATGATTTATGTAAAGGTTATATAAAAATATTACTCTGAGTACATAGAGGCTGTTTGCAGCTGAGCTGTGTAATGTGGCTTTTCATTTAAATGTACAAAAGGGATACATTTTTTGATACCTTGGATCTGAAATATCTCTCTAATTTGCCTTAACACTTGATGGTTGGTTTTTGGCTTGATATTAGAGTTCTAGGTTAGATGTCATTTTCCTCAGAATTGTGAAGGCATTTCTCTATGGTCTTAGAGCTTCTGATGTTGCTGTTGAAAAGTCTGAATCTGGATCATTTATGTAACACATCTCCCTCTCCCTTCCCCTTTCCCTGCCCGTTCCTCTCCTGAAGCCTGTCTCTTTAGTGTTGAGAAATGTCACAGGGATGTCTTTTGGCGTGGAGCTAATGGCATCCTTTGTGCTGGCACTTGGCAGTCCTTTCGGTGTACAAATTCATGTTGGCCTGTTCTATGAAATATTCTTTAATTATTTTTTAACACTGTTTTTCCTTTCATTTTCTTTTTTATTGTTTTTGTAACTCCTATTATTTGGTGTTATTGTCTAGTTTAAAAATTTTGGGGGGCTGGGTGCGGTAGCTCATGCTTGTAATCCCAGCACATTGGGAGGTCATAGTGGGTGGATCACCTGAGGTCAGGAGTTCGGGACCAGCCTGGCCAACATAGTGAAACCCCGCCTCTACTAAAGATACAAAAATTAGCTGGGCGTGATGGCAGATGCCTGTAATCCTAGCTACTCGGGAGGCTGAGGCAGGAGAATCTCTTAAACCCAGGAGGCAGAGGCTGCAGTGAGCCAAGATCCCGCCACTGCACTCCAGCCTGGGCAACAGAGTGAAACTCTGTCTTAAAAGAAAGAAAAAAAAAATTTGTCTTTTCTTTCCTATTTGTCAAACTTTGTAAAAACTTCATCTTGTAAATAATTGGTTGAGATGTTCTTTTCTGCTGTAATAATTTTAATTTCCAAGAGCTTCTCTTTGTTGTTACTTTGTCTCTGCATCTTCCTTTTTTATGGCATTCTGTTCTTGCTTCATGGATGCAATATTTTCATTGATCTCTCAGAATGTTTGATACTTGGTTTTGTTTCATTCTGTTTCACTTTTATTCTTCCTGTATTGTTTCTCCTTCCGCAAAGATGGCTTCTGTTGTTTTGTTTTCTTCTCTTTTGTATCATATGTTTTCCTCAAATATTTGGTGATCCTTGGCTGACTGATTGTAATTTGGGAGTGAGACGCAGAATAACTCAAGGAGGAGCATGGAAGGGATTGGTGAGTGTGGTCTTACCTGTGTGGTGACTTGAAGAAGCCATTTTCTTCCGTTTCTTTAGGTCTTTTCTTTTGAGTTGTTGAGATCTCCCAGGAAAGACTCTTCTAATTTCCAGCTTGCTGAGTGTAAATTTTGGCTGCCAGGTTTTGGGAGCTAAGAGGAAGAAGACAAGGGAGATTTCAAATTTAGTGTGTAAACTTTGACTCAGCCCCCTTGTTTTTGGTTTCCTGCTTCTAACTGAACCTAGTGTGTTCTAGCCTAGATGCCCTGGGTGTTATTCTCTCCAAGAACAAACCTTTAATCTCTGCCAGATGGGGAGGTACAGTCACCCAGCTACCTGGGGGAGGGGAAGGGGTCAGGGATTCGAACTGCTTCTTAAACAGAATTGCAATCAGTCCCCTTGGACTTAGCTCCACCGTTGTCCTCACTGCCTGCAATATCTGGGGCCACCAACTCTTGAGCCTTTTGGGGGTTTTGAGGTCTGAACGGTGTTGTTTGCAGCTTTGCCTATCACTAGCTTGAGACTCATCTTTGGATCTGCTAAGTCAGTTACTGCTCACCTGTCTTGGCTCCAGCTGTTAAAATCCTGTTGCAGTTTCTTCCTCTCCCATTTTCTCTGTCGTCGTGAGTTTCTGCCATCTTAAAAATTCTTTATTGTCATTTTATTAGGGTTTCAGGAGAGAGCAGTGCTCCATGCATGTATTTAATCCACTAACTTTAACCAGAAGTATTTTTTTAAACATTTGGAAAGCAGGCTGCGTGCCGTGACTAATGCCTGTAATCCTAGCATTTTAGGAGGCCAAGGCAGGCAGATCACCTGAGGTCAGGAGTTCAAGACAAACCTGGCCAACATGGTGAAATCCCATCTGTACTAAAAATATAAAAATTAACCAGGCGTGGTGGCACAGGCCTGTAGTCTCAGTTACTTGGAAGGCTGAGGCAGGAGAATTGCTTGAACCAGGGAGGCAGAGGTTGCACAGAGCCAAGATTGCACCACTGCACTCCAGCCTGGGCAGCAGAGCAAGACTCTGTCTCAAGAAATAAAAAATAAAAATATAAAAATATAAAGCATTAAAAAGTACCTTCAAGTTTTTTTCTTTCTTTTTTTTTTTTTTTTTTTGAGATGGAGTTTCACTCTTGTTGCCCGGGCTAGAGTGCAATGGCACGATCTCGGCTCACCGCAGTCTCCACCTCCCAGGTTCAAGTGAGTCTCCTGCCTCAGCCTCCCGAGTAGCTGATATTACAGGTGCTCGCCACCACGCCTGGCTAATTTTTTGTATTTATAGTAGAGATGGGATTTCACCATCTTGGCCAGGCTGGTTTCGAACTCCTGACCTCAGGTGATCACACCCTCCTTGGCCTCCCAAAGTGCTAGGATTACAGGACTGAGCCATCACGCCCAGCCAAGGTGTTTTCTTAGTAGGTGAAATTACTGAGTTAGAAGCATTTATTCAGGACCTACTCCTTCTTAAACAAAGTCATTGTTTTGTTTCTTCATTCGCCTATGTCTGCAATATTATAGAGCTAGTTCAAAAGTAAGCAGTTTGATTTTGGCTCCAACATTGAGCAATCATAATGTAATACTAGGTTCAAATGTGAGTAGATTTGAGTGCATGTCGATGTTGAAAATAAACTCACTATTGGAGTGTTTTAGGATGCTCTGGCTTTCCAGGATGGATATTACTTAGGAGTAGGTTGGCTCTGGGTTTTTTCCTGGGTTCTTGATTTGCTTGATTTGGTTCTTATATAATCTATTCTTTCTTTCCCTTTCCTTCTCCAGAAACAGCTCAAATTATGAAATAACTTTCAAAAACAAGTTAGGTGGTAGTAGTGGAGGTAGTGAAGGAAAACAGGGAACTTTCCTGTTCGCTGCAGAGCAAACCAGGTGCCACGTAGACCTTCTCAGATGCCACTACTGGACGCAGCCCTCTAGACCTGAAGGTATGCTGGATAGACCCGGATAGACCCGGCGGGGTGCTGAGCCCAAGCGTGTGCCAGGGTGGGAGGATTTACACTTCAGAAACTGGCAGATGCTATGAAATCAGAACCTTTTTTCCTGGCAAGCTGGTATTTAAATCTTAACCAGCATGCTTCTGTCTAGACCTGACTTTACTCTTGGGGCAATCTGATATACCCCCCAAAGTGTCATAATCACGTCAGCCTACCCGTATGACATTGTATTTATTCACTGCACTGTGAGCTCCAGGGAGTCCAGGTGATAGAATAGGCAAAGGGCAAAATTTGGAGCCAGACAGCCTGACATTTACATCCTTCCTTGGCTACTTCTAGCTCTGTGACCTTTGGCAAACCTCTGAAAGCCTCGGCTTCAGTTTCTTAATCTGTAGAACAGGGGGGGAAATTTCTTCCTAGCGATGGTGTTGTAAAAAATTCACAACTGTGGCAGCCTCTGCTCTCCCAAAACCATGTCCTCTAGAAAATCCTGGCTTTATGGAGTAGGTTCCTCTGTGGCCTGTTTCTGTTTGGCAGCAGGCTTGTGACGTCTTTGCTTAGGGTCCTTATTTTTATAACAGAATACTGACTTTTTGTTTATATGGTTTCCAAAATTTATGAAGCCACTAATCAAAAACATGGGATCAGTGTACTTCAGACTCTTACAAGGGAATATAATGTTAGACAGACTTCTCTCCGGTGCTCCAAATCCCACAAGAGGAACAGTTTTGTTAAGGGGCAGTCATTTAAAGGATGACTCACAAATTATCTGTCTATTCTAAGTTATACCTTTGAATAAAATTAAAATACCAAATAAAATATGTATGCATTGGGACAACATCAACATAATCATTTTTATAATCACTCAAAACTGTGTCTTAATCATATGGCTTCAAACCTTTATTGCAAATTATTATAAGAAATGCTGTCTCTACTAAAAGTACAAAAATTAGCCAGGAGTGGTGACAGGCGCCTGTAATCCCAGCTACTCAGGAGGCTGAGGCAGGAGAATCGCTTGAACCCGGGAGACAGAGGTTGCAGTGAGCTGAGATGGCGCCACTGCATTCCTGGGCAACGACAACAGTGAAACTCCATCTCAAAAAAAAAACAAAAAACAAAAAAAAAACAACAACTATTTGACTTTTGCTTTAGCGTCTGCTATGAACCATGAATATAGATGCCAATTATCCATTACATGGTTCAGTTTTCCTGGCTTACACTGCCCTACACAAGACATCTGTCCTTGACACAGGGACTAACCTTGTCTCTCCTAAGGAATTAGTCATTTTTATCCTCTTAGTAAGGAGTTGTGAAATACATGATGTTTCCCTATGCACCTCCGTGCCAGGAATGTTAGAATCAAGTTTTGTTATCAATCATAAGAACTGTCTAAGATTTTCATTTGACATGCTACATTTCTACTCCTTTTTTTTTTTTTTTGGAAAGGGTTTCACTTTGTTGCCCAGGCTGGAGTGCAGTGGCACAATCACAGCTCACTGTAGCCTCTACCACCCTAGGCTCAAGCAATCCTCACACCACAGCCTCCCGAGTAGCTGGGACTATAGGCATGCGCCACCACGCCCAGCTAATTTTTGTATTTTTTGTACAGATAGGAGTTTTGCCACACTGCCCAGGCTGGTAGATTTCTCCTCTTGATCCTGTTTTCCACATGTTCATTTTTTTTTTTCTTTTTTTGAGACAGAGTTTCACTCTTATTGCCCAGGCTGGGGTGCAATGGCATGATCCCAGTTTACCGCATCCTCCACTTCCTGGGTTCAAGCAATTCTCCTGCCTCAGCCTCCCAAGTAGCTGGGATTACAGGCATGCACCACCACACCCAGCTAATTTTTGTATTATTAGTAGAAATGGTGTTTCACCATGTTGGTCAGGCTGGTATCGAACTCCCGACCTCAGGTGATCCACCCTCCTCCGCCTCCCAAAGTGCTGGGATTACAGGCATGATCCACTGCGCCTGGCCCACATGTTCATTTCTAGCTTGTTAACTTTATTGTATTTACCATACTCTCCCACTTTTTAAACTACAGATTCCTTGTAGAAAAATGAATAAATGAATGAATGAGTGAAGGAAAGTCAGTGGCAATAACTAATGATGTTTTTAAAATTGTGTAGTAAGTGGCATAGTTATGAGATTTGGGGGATTTGGGGCTGGATCAGACAGAGAAAACAGAAGGGGAACATGCCAGTGTCTTCAAATGTTTGAGACACTGTAGTTTGGAAGAGACAGCGGACATGATTTTTATTGCTCCTGAGAATAGAATAGGAGCCAATGAATAGACTATCCATTAATTGATTTGTTCATTTCTAAGTTATTTCTTATGCACCTGCTCTCTAGGGCATGTGGACGAGGTCCAGATGAGGACAAGTTTCCTGCTCTCAAATTTCTTGCATTTTAGGGAAGTAATTTTTGGCTGACTTGCAAAGAACTTTCTAATGAGAAGAGTTATATAACCATGGGATGTGTTGCCTTGTGAAGTAGGGAGCTTTCCATCTTTGGAGAATCTCAAAAAGGGCTGAATGAATACCCTGAAAAATACTACTCCCTCGGGAGAGAAGGTGGATTTGTTGACCTCTAGGGTTTGGCTCTACTGTGCTTCCATGTTTCTCTTTTATTTGTCAGTTTCCATCTTAAACTGAAGGATTAGGTCATTTCAGGGAGTTCTGGAGGTGAGGTGGTGGGAAGCAATAAAAATACCTTCACAAACCAGTTCCTTTACTCTTTGATCCAGGTGGTTCCCACAGGTCCCTTGACCCCCGATAAAGTAATCCCGGCTGCCTGCGACGGAGGTGTAGGCAGCCAGGGTTCATGGAGCCTGTGGTTATCTCCTTACAGAGAGCCTTATCAGCTTGTGGAGCCACCGTAAAGCTTGCTTTGACCTTTGGCAGAGACTCCTCCTGTATGTCTGTCCACAGAAATGAGAGCAGGTGACAGACACCTGGGATGATCCTGAGACCCAGCACCCAAAGCCCAGGCTTCTTTCTATGGGGAAGTCAAGCAGAGGGACCCAAGCTCATAGCCAGTGGAGGGGTGGGTTGATGAGAGGCGAGCCCTTTACCAGATGTGAGCCCAGTCATCACTCTGCATTTTCTACGCAAAAGTCCAGGGGCTTGCTATTGAAATTAGGCAAAGAGGACAAAGAATTGCCCTCTGTAAAGTCCTCAAAAAATTATAAATTATAATTTTTATAAAATGATAGAATTCTAAAATAAAATTTTTATAAAATTATAAATTTTATATATATATAATTTCCTGGAAATAACTTACAGAAAAGTTGCAAGAATAAAAATAGTACAAAGGACACCCTTATTCACTGTACTCCGTTAGCAATTAACTATTTTTTCTGGACCATTTGTGAGTAAGATGCGTATACCATTAGCCTTTATCCTGAAGCTCTTCGATGCATATTTCCTGGGAAATGAGATATGCTGTCACGTAGCCAGAGTACACTTATCAGCTTCAGTAAAATTAACATTGATGAGTACCCTTATGGAATCTATCATGCATGTTCCAATTTGTTTTCAGTTGACCTGATAATGTCCTTTACAGCATTGTCTCCCTCCAGTGAGGGGTCCAGTCTAGGATCAGATTGCATTTCGTTGTCGTGTCTCTTTTTGAGGGTCTTTTAACTGTACCATTATTATTGTTATCTGTCATCTTATTAGCTTATTCAAAGTTGTTAGAGGTATTTCTTATTTAGGGTACATCTCATTTACAATCATCCTTTCGTTCACTTGAAAATGAAGGCTAGGTTCTCTGGAGTCCAGACTCACTCCCCTTCTATGTGAAGTGTTTTCCTGTGTATGGTGGAAGGGATGGGGGTGAGAAATTTTGGATGTACATTATGTACATGGTTGACTTTTCTTTGTTTGATTTAAATCATACAAAAACAGATCAGATCCTTTGAGATCATTTTCAAATTCCGCTGTTGTCAATCCGACTTATTGCCAAGGAGATCGTCCCTTCATCCTTGAGGAGGAAGAAAGGATCATTTTGAGAATCTTCGTTTCATATCAAGACAACACACTCTTCTGAATCTAGAAACAGAAATACCTTTACATTTACTTACAGCCCTTATCTCAGCACTTTCATGCATCTTATGAGAAGCAACACGCATGATAATTAAGCATTTCTATGCATGCAGAGCTTTGGTTAGCTTGGTAAAGGGTATGTTCAGCAATTCTGGTCCCTGCCCTCCAGAAAAACTTGCTTAAGATGCACCAATATGCATTATTAAATATAATAACACATCAAGTAAAAACTATGCCTAACACTCGCAGGCTATCATACAGACTTAGAATTATTGAGATGATTTTTCAGATGGTAACATTTAATCACAGAGAAGCTGAATAATTTGCCGAAGTTTACTTTAAAAAAAATCAGAGCTACGATACCAATGTTCAGTACCTTTCTTTCTTAGTATAATCCCCTACTTTCAAAATAACCTTTATAGATATTTCTAGTATCTACGCTAAGAAAAAGAGTAATGGTGAAAGACTGAGAGAAGACACTGCTTTTTAAAGGCTATAGAAATCTGGTACATGGCTTCTTTGAAGAAAAAAAATTAAATGGAAGGAAAATTGGCTGCTCATTTTCTGAGGGTGCAATTTTATATAGAAGATATTTCACTGTGGTCTGTATTTAACAAGCTGCGGGGACCCTAAGGCTGGTAGATGGTCAGACTGGTAACATTTTCTAATGTGACTCTGATAATTTTGACATAGGCTTTCTTTTTGGCTGCCCTAAGTATTTATCCTTTTCACCTGATTTACTTTACATTCGCCTATTTTACCATGGGTTACAGACAAGAACAAATTGGACTCTTAAAATGGCATATAATTTTAATATTTTCTGAGTTTCTAGTATTCTAAATTCATAATTATAACCTGAGGGATGTATGCCCACAGGGCATAAAACAATCACATAGATAGTGAGTTTTTTTTTTTTTTTTTTGAAATTACCTTGGCTACTTGAGGATTCTCTACACCCCTGCTATCCAGCATGGGGGCCACCAGCCACATGGGGCTACTGAGCATTGAGACGTGGCTAGTCTGAACTGAATGTGACTGGTCTGTATAAAATACATATTAGAGTTCAAAGACTTGGTACATTAAAAAGAATGTAAAATATCTCATTAGTAGACTTTTTTATATTGATTACATGTTGAAATGATAATATTTTGGATATGCAGGGTTAAATGAAATGTTATTAAAGTTAATTTCACCTGTTTCTTTTTAATTTTTTGATGTGGCTACTAGAAAACCCCAAATTCCATATGTGGTTTGCATTTGTGGCTCCCATTATATTTCTGTTGGAAAGCTCAGCTCTAGAAGGAAAGAAAATACATAAAAAAAGACCAAAAAAAACCCAACTCATTCAGTGTATTTTAGAGTGAATTACGGAAGGGAAAGCTGAATAGCCAATGATCCCATTTTTTTTCTTGATTAGGTTTGGAGTTCATTAAAGCTTCTTTAATTAAATATATTGTAAATCTGCTTCAAGTTCCCAGTTGAGATGAGAATTGAATCTTTTTGTTTAATTTTAAAAATTCTAAGAAAATCCTGAACTCACTTCAAAAGCGACTTGTTTTTTGAAATCTTTGTAAAAAGCTTTCCATTTACATGGATTGGAGGTCTGATTAATATAGAGTTTTGAAGGGGCTAAAGAGGTGTGAAAATTATCCAGAAACTTCTGAAAGGACCTTTCTTATCTCACAGGCATCCAGGGAGACATAAGGGCCCTTAGAAGCCGCAGATCAGCCATAAGCATCTGTGTTCACAGTTTCCTTCCAATAAGCAAAAACACTGGGAGAGATAACATATTTATTCCTAGGTGTCTATAACTGAATTTATGGGTGTAACTTGCTGGATATTATTGCCCTTGTAAACCCATGTAACTGCACACGTAAAGCATGTTTTTATTAGTTCCTACATAAAATTTTTATGATAATGGCAAACAAAGGACCAATTTAGTTTAGCTGAGTTTGTTCTTATTACTCCAGCTTCCAATAGATAAGCAACAGTGCAAACAGCAGGCTGGGCGCGGTGGCTCACGCCTGTAATCCCAGCAGTTTGGGAGGCCGAGGCGGGCGGATTGCTTGAGGTCAGGAGTTCGAGACCAGCCTGGCCAACATGGTGAAACCCCATCTCTAGTAAAAATACAAAAAATTATCTGGGCGTGGTGGCACATGCCTATAATCCCAGCTACTCAGGAGGCTGAGGCATGAGAATTGCTTGAACTCGGGAGGCGGAGGTTGCAGTGAGCCTAGATAGAGCCATTGCACTCCAGCCTGGGAGACAGAGCGAGATTCCATCTCCAAACAAACAAACAAACAAAGAAACACACACACACAAAAACACCACCAAAAAAAACCCCCGAAACAGCAACAACAACAACAAAAAAAACACCCCACTGCAAATAGCAGCAGTCAACAGGGAAGAGAGAGTCAGTGCTTGCAGGGCTGGGGCTCCTGGCCTGTGGGTAAGGAGGATTGAGGCTCCCCTAGGCCTCATGGGACTGCAGTAGGGTGAGGCTGGGCTGGCCTGCCCTCAGCTTGCAAGCCTGTTGTTGAGCAGCTGTTCTCCACGTTGGTAGCTGTGGAGTATTCTAATTTAGCTTCTGAAAAGGCTTGCATAGCTAGTATTGAAAGAACTCCCACTTACTGTATTTCAGCTGGAGAATTACAGAGAAAAAAGGTTCAAGTGGCTTATTGTAGGTCATCTCCCACTCTGGGATTTAAACAAAGCACAAACAGAACAAAGTTCCTTTAAACTGGGTGCCTTCATCTGAGTCCCTCCTGTCTGCAAGGTTTGGCAGGCTCGCTGGATACAGAGCCCACGCCTCTCATTCTCACTGCTGCCTTTTTATGTTTGACCCTTGGATGTGGCCAACGATTCCCATGGTGACCTGGATTGGAGGGAAGTTTTTCTAGAATTTGAAGATAAAGCATCTTTCATAAATACTGCCTGTTCCTTCCCAATGACTAGTTAAAAATTGATAGTCTGTAAACTAGAGTGAGTGCGATCCGTGAACCCAAATTCAGGAGACAGAGTTTGACGTGTCTAAATGTACGCAGGGGACAATAGCAAGAAATATTTTAAGCTGAATGAGCCTGAAATATAAAAGACATAGGATTGTTATAGATATGTCATACTGAAGGCTGCCTTGGATGGAAAATCAACTGAAAAAAGGGCAAGCTTAGTACACACTAGGTTTATTCTGGGCTAAGGCCGGTCTAGGACATTCATGAAATTACAACTTAGTGATTAGGGGCTATAGTGGTTTAGATTCTAGACTTTAGAAGTATTTACACATCAAAAAACTCATGGCTGCGAAGAGTTTTCCTCCTAGCATCTGACACAACTCCTCATTTTGTAAGTCTGTACTGGAGTGAATTCTAGACAGCTGGCTTGTTGTATTTATTTTTATTTTTAGAAATGGGGTCTCACTCTGTTGCCCATGCTGGAGTGCAGAGGTGCAATCGTAGCTCACTGTGGCCTTGAACTCCTGGGCTCAAATGATCCTCCTGCCTCAGCCTCCCCAGTAGCTGGGACTACAGGTGTGCACCACCATGTCTGGCTAATTTTTAAAAAAATTTTTTGTAGAGATGGGGTCTTGCTATGCTGCCCAGGCTGGACTTGAACTCCTAGGCTCAAGTGATCCTCCTGCCTCAGCCTCCCAAGTAGTTGGGACTACAGGGACACACCACCCTGCCGAGCTTGACTAGTTATATTGTTCTTAAAGGTTTATAGAAGGAAGGAGCTTCTGTAGCCTCCAACCCCATTTTTCGGATGCGTTCCTTTAAGGACTAATCCAATTTGAGGTTCTTTATTCTATTTCCTCAGTGGGCATGTTTACTGATCCTCAAATGTGCCTTTATATATTTCATAAGCTGTTTCTTTGCATTCTTTCCCCCAAAGGAGTAGTTTCCATTCTTTCTGAAAAACACTGCTTGAGCCTCGTCCCTTTTGGAAGAGCAGTTCTGGGGTGTGTGTGTGTGCGCGCGCATGTGTGTGTGTCCACGTGCATGCGTGTGTGTGCATGGGGGGTGTGTGTCTGCATGCCTGTGTGTGTCCACGTGTGTGTGTTTCTTTGGCCTCCTCTCAGGCTCTGGGGGAAAAAAACCTCTACTAAATCTTAAGCTAAGTACAAAATGTGTGCATGTTTCACTCTTGCCAACGTTTTAGACTTCTGGTGTTAAGCCCTGTGGAAATGCAAATAGCATAGTTTTTAATACTTACTCTAAGGGTACTATTTAGGGAAGTAAAAGTTACTCTAAAGGCAAGATTGATTTCCTGCCCTCATGGAACTGACCTTTCATAATAGATAGCTTGTTGTCCATGCTAACAAGGGCTTACTACAAGTGCTACGTATTCTCAATTTGTATCAAAAATTGTAGTTTGGGGCCACTGGCTTCTTTTTGGAGATGGCCTGATTGATTCCAGACTCTGGATCTGAGAAGCTGACGGTTTTGTACCATTGCCCTACACACATGGAAACACTGCAGACTTCAAAGTTCCTTTGTTTTAAGTGCGGTGGAATCATAGTTGAGGGGACAGTGAAGGAAGAGGACAGACTGAGCTGAGGTGTTGTTGCTGCTTTCTCTCAAAAGGTTGTTAAGAGATCATTCATTTTTGAGGAATTGCAACAAGACTGATTTTTTTTTTTTTTTATAAAGCGTAGAGTCTTTTAACTCAGGATTAGATGAATAGCTTTTCAAATGTGTATGAAAGACAAGAATCCCAAAAGATTGGCTCTATTTTAAATAGCAGACTCCAGGGACTCAAGGTTTGTAACAAAAGGGCAGATATGGAAGAGATGAACTCCCGGGTCCAACTCTGAGAATAGAGCACCCTCAGGGCTGGGGATCCCTGAGGTGTCAGGGAATGCCAATCTCGCTGGTTCCGGTTTATTAGCTCGGGGAATCTCGTTAGATATCCTCACAATAAGCTAGTTGGTATTGACTTTGCCTGACCCATATTATAAAGTTCTAACAAGTGGAAAGTATAGCCAAGCTTTGGGAAATGCCATAGCATGCAGAATAGAAGAGAAAACCAGCGTCTTAAATGAACAGAGGAGAAATTTGAGCAGAACCACCAACTGGAGAAATTAGGACACTGGCTGGAATGTTACAGCCACAACAGGGGAAAAAAGCAGAATATTTACTTAGTGAAGACATAATGAGATGGTACAATTCTCTGGTGTCAACTTTCACAGAAGAGCTTTGTCTCTGTGCTAATGATGCAGAGAGCAGGGAAGTGATGAGAAAATTGTATAGACCTCAAGAAATCCAACAACAGCAAAAAAAGAATTTGGAGTTTAGTTTTGTATCTTCTGAGGTCCAGGATTTTTCCATCTCCCTAAATTTGAGAATTCAGGTTCAAGGAAGGACTTGGAGAATAGTCAAAACATTACTACACTTCTTAAAGCATTCTTAATGGTATTTTTACTAGTGAAATAGAAAATGAAAACACACACATGTAAATAAGCATATTTTATTAATCCTCCAAATGCCCTGGGTAAACCAGTTTAGAAAACCATCAGATGCAAAGTCTGTCATGGGTCTGGTGACGAGATTAGGATCAGTCCTAATTAGGATTAATGAAACAGAGTTTCCCGGGAAGCAACTGTGACAAGCTGTTCTTTGAATTCTGGACATGTAGGAATGATGTGAAAGTCTAGATGATCAGCCTCATGGAGTAAGGGATCCGAACCTCCAAAGGGAATAGGCAGAAGAACAATTTCAAATATCTTCATAAGATCAGCCCACAAATGTTTGCCTACCCGTGTGCAGGTTTGCAATTAGAGGCTTTAGAGCATTGGTTTTGATTCTTAAGCCATTTTTATTTGAGGAGAAAGATGCCTGAGAGTGTTTTTAGTTAATATTCCTTATGGCAAATCTGTGATTTTGCAACTAGGATGCAGAGAGGTTAATTGACTTTATTAAGGTCCCACAGCTGGTCATTTGGGTAGAACTGAGCCCCTGGCTTATGGCTAACCTACAGAGACTCTCCCTCTCTGTATTTCTAGGATTTTCAGTCATTTCAGAGTTCTGCTGTCCTATTGATGTTGTTTTTTTTTTTTGTATGCATGAATAAGTGCTGCAATTAACGGGCTGTGGCGTGAACTAGGGGTGTGAATCAGGATCACTCATCCCACCAAGTTGGGCTTCTGTGTCTTCATGTTTCCACATGGAACTTGGCCTGGAATAGATCTAAGGGCTTTTCCAGCTCCATTTTTAAAAATTGCTTACTGAATTGTGTAGGATTTGGTATTTCTGCAGTTGGCAAACAGAATACAAGGTTTGGTGTCAAGTCGAAACTGGAACCATGTAAGCCATTGCATTACTCTGGAACAATCAGCTGACTCTGAAACAATTCTTGTTCACCAATGACAGTTTGGGAATTTTTTCCCAGTTTGGTAGGGAATTTCTTTTTTGTCATTTTTGATATGTTTGTATGTTTTTGCACAAAGGCCACTCAAAGGTTAAGTCGGGGCATTTTTTAGAGATGTAATGGGAATATCTGTAAATGGTCCTGCTTTAGACTGGATTATGACTTTAGGAAGCACAGGGCACGTTCAGCCGCATGGCCCTCCAGTCATCCTATGTGCAGTCTCACACGTTCCCCACTCTGGGGAAATTGAGGCAAAGAGAGGGGAGATGAGTCGCCCATAGCCTCCCTTGTTGCTCCCACCAAGCCAGGCCCAGAATTAGTTCCTAACACTTAATGTAACGTTTACCAGGGGCCTGATGCCTGACACACCCTTTGCTAGGCACTAGGATTACAGTGACAAGTTAATTTGGTCCAGCCTGTCTCCAATTTGGGCATCTCCTTCGTGGCTGTGGTATGGAGTGGCTCAGGGTATAATGCACTGCTGGTTGCCTTGAAAGTTTCCCAAGCATTAGCCAAGACTTAGGTGAAGAACTTGGACATGGAGGTGACGTAGGCCCTGGGAAGGGACTGCCTAAAGATGTATGTTCATGGGCTCCACAGACAAGAAAGACATGGCAGATTAAACATGGATAGAAAAGGGCATGATGTGTATTAGAATTAAATGCTGCAGCAGTTCCAGCTAATCTAATTTCAGTCTCTTAATCTCATTGTCTTTCCCCTTGGCAGCATAACTAATAAACAATGCCACTCTGCAACAGTTACATAAAGCACGTATTCAATAGTCAAAAATTCCAAGCTCTTTTCTTCAAAGGTTAGGTCTATTTTTTATTTTATTTTATTACTTATTATTATTTTTTTGAGACAGAGTCTTGCCCTGTCACCCAGGCTGGAGTGTAGTGGTGCGATCTCGGCTCACTGCAGCTTCTGCCTCCCGGGTTCAAGTGATTCTTCTGCCTCAGCCTCCTGAGTAGCTGGGACTACAGGTGCGCACCACCACGCCTGGCTAATTTTTGTATTTTTAGTAGAGACAAGGTTTTACCATGTTGGCCAGGCTGGTCTTGAACCCCTGACCTCAAGTGATCTGCCTGCCTTGGCCTCCCAAAGTGCTGGGATGACAGGTGTAAGCCACTGTGCCCGGCCCAGGTCTATTTTTTAAATGGATAAAAGAAAGAGGGTGGCTCAATTTTGTGACAGGGTCTTTAAATTTGTCAGTTTGTGCATTTCATCTTCTGGTGCCCCAGAGCTCTGAGTGTAGCTGAAACTCATGCCCGGTATGGGGAAGAACCGGGGCAGGGTGGGGCCCTTTAGCCTCTGGGTTTGGTTTCTCCTCTCCTGGAACCTGTATTCCTATGATTACTTGCCCCATATTCCAGAGAATTCCAGCTCTGCAGCTGTGGCTGTCGCATCTCACACTCAAACTGACTGAGATGAACAATTACTGGTTTTCTCTCCCCGCTTCCCATCTCTTTGTGTACATTGCTTTTTGTTTTTCTCTTTTTTCTTCCTTCTCCCATTTCTCTCTTTTTCTTTTTGTTCTTTTTTCTCTCTTTGTTCCTTGTTTGCCCTTTCTTCCCCGAATCCAGCAATTTGTCTTACTACCACTATATTGAATTATGTATAAGCCGAAGCATCTTAGTTCATTCAATAAAGCTTTCTGTACCCTATTCACCATGTTAAAAATCAAGTGAAAACAAAGTTTTATCCCTTAAAAACAAACAAAACTCCAACAACCCCAACCCAACTAAATTAAGTCCATTCCTATTTGTATACATCTGTTAATTAATGTATGAATTAATGTATTTATTAGATAAATTCCATATCCAGACACATCCTATACTGGTAATACTAAGGAGAACAGACACAGTCCCTAAGGTCCTAAGGTTGACTATTTACTTGGGGAGAGAGACTGACAACAGGCAGTTACAAAGCAAGACATGCTGTAGGCCCTGGGATTGCATGGACAGTGTCCACTGTCAGTGGAGTCCTGTGGAGGGGGTGGCGCTGATCATTCAGTGCGGGGAACAAGTGGTCAAGACATGCTTCCTGGGGCACTGGCTCTTGGTTGACTATTTGGGAGTGAGAAACAGTGGTAGCCTTTGCCCAATAGAAGAGCCGCCCCCAGGTGATTCTGTACATAGGAGCTGGCCTAGGAGTAGCCTCTGGCCTGACCCTGACATCAGGGTTGAGTTGATTAGGGTTGTGATTCCATCTTGACTACTCAGTCTGAATTTGCTGAGTTGCAAATTGAAAGTGAAATCAATTACATCCAGATTCAGACCATTTGATTTTATTTTCATTTGATCATAAACATCACAAAACACGGGATAGAGAGAGCCTATTGTGCTCAGTTATTCAAATAATCCTAATTATGATCACTCATTCAAATGATTCTTAAATGATTCTTTTTTTTTTTTTTTTTTTTTTTGAAACACAGTCTTGCTCTGTCACCTAGGCTGGAGTGCAGTGGTGCGATCTCAGCTCACTGCAACCTCCGCCTCCTGGGTTCAAGCAATCCTCCTGTCTCAGCCTCCTGAGTAGCTGGGCTTATAGGCACACGCCACCATGCCTGGCTAATTTTTGTATTTTTAGTAGAGACGGGGTTTCACCATATTGGTCAGGCTGGTCTTGAACTCCTGACCTCAGGTGATCCACCCGCCTCGGCCTCCCAAAGTGTTGGAATTACCAGCGTGAGCCACCGCGTCCGGCCCCAAATGATTCTTTTTTTTAAAATACAATCTTTTGCTGTTAGCACATTTTCTGAAGAGGGTGGCTCTACTTGAGCCGTACATTCTCTGGATGATGTGGGCCTGAGCTGCCCAATATGAACTCAAGAGTAGCGAGAAACCAAGCCCACAGGCCTTATCTGCTCCAGGGCTTTTCCACCTGGCAGACGGAATTGAAGCTCTTACTCGATCGCAGTTGTGCCTGCTTCACAGGGTTGTTGTCAGTATTAAATGTGTCAATACAAATAAAGCTCTCAGAACAGAAGCCCGCTCATGGTAAGTGCTCAAAAGTGGCAATGGTGATAATGATGATCTATGAGCCCACCTGTTTCACATCCTCAAAGGCCTCTGAGGCTGAAGCTGATCTCATCATGTCAACTGGACTCCTTGTTTCATTATACACCCTGACTATGTCGCTGAAAACACCCCCCAAAACATCACTGAGGAATAAGTATTGAGATCCAGCATACCTGCAAGGTGAATTCACATGCATATGTGCAAAACTGCAAGCTTCATGGTGGGACCATATCACCTCTTCTAGGAGACTCTTTTTAAAAAGCTTGATCTCTATCTTAAGCCACACATGTTGGAACTAAGAAATCTAAGGGAGGAACCCCAGATAGAGATGCAGTTGGCCCTTTGCTGAATCTCGGTCCTTCCTGGAGCAGGCGGGCAGCCCTGCCCCTTTATCTTCTGGCAATACAAAGGATAAAAGAAAACAGTTATCAGGTGCTGAGGGGCCAGATCTGAGCCCCGATAATGGGAATCCTGAAACATGAGCAGCCTCTTCTGTTTGCAGAGTCTCATCATGCAAGGCAGAGTGCTGGAGGTAGGGCTATAAATTGAGGGTGAAGGAAAGGCAGCCCTCCTAGGCCCTGCGTATCGCCAGTTGTGGAATTCTCTTTTGCAAGAGGTCACTGAGTCAAATGCTGTGGATGGATAATTTTATGGCCACTAATAAAATTTATAGCCAAAGCAAGCTAAGATAATAAGAGTAATCAAACGTCCAGCCCTGGGACATAAGAATCCCATCCTGGCCTGGGGTGCTGGCTGGGGGTGCTGGACAGCACAGAGAGGAGTTTATCTGTCTGACTCAAGGCCAGCCTCAGAGTCTCAGAGGTGATTTGTGTCCACATGAACTGCGAGGACTAGGCCAGGTCTGGGGCAAGCTTCAGCTTGGGCAGTAACTGCTGTTTCTCTGCAGACAGCATGCCAACAGCAGCAGGAAAAAGCTATATCCTATTTAAATGCCTAAAAGCAAATCGTGAGCCTAAGAAAAGATCTGAACCACCCCAGCTCTGGAATACTACATTATGGAAGGAATGCTAACTGGTCATTCACGTGTGACTTGCCAGGTGTGAGGGAAGATAAAGAAGGATGCAAGTATTACTCATGCAAGTATAAAGAAATCAGATGACGTTTAACCAAAGAGTTGGGTTTGTGTGGGGGCTTTCCCCTGCCCATCTCCTCCCTCTTCTCCGAGCTTAGCTCCTCTCTGAGTTTCCTTCCCATCCCAGTTCTTCCTCCTGTAGGCCTGGGGCATAGGCAAAGTGGGATCTTGTCACTGAGGCCACCCTGCAGAACACACCTCGTGACATCTATAGAGGCATATCAGTCACTGGAAGACAGAAACCCTGGGTTCTTGGCCCTCTTCTCTTGACTCGGGCCTCACCGTTGATGGTCCTTATGACCACACTCTCTAAAATGGCACAGCAGGTAGGTAGCCACGTGGAACAAGTTGAGAACAAGTAACACTCTGGTGTTGTGGGATTCTCTCTCTCTCTCTCTTATTTTTTGAGACAGGGTCTCGCTCTGTCACCCAAGCTGGAGTGCAGTGGCACAATCATAGCTCACTGTAGCCCCCAACCACCCAAGCTCAAGAGATCCTCCCACCTCAGCCTCCCGAGTAGCTGGAATTACAGGCGCGTGCCACCATGCCTGCCTAATTTTTGTATTTTTGGTAGAGACAGGGTTTCACCATGTTACCCAGCCTGGTCTTGAACTCCTGAGCTCAAGCAATCTGTCTGCCTCGGCCCCCCAAAGGCTTGAGCCACCCCACCTGGCCTTCTTTCTTTTTTTATTGTGGTAAAATATATATAACCTAAAATTTACCATCTTCACCATTTTTAAGCATGCAGTTCTGTGACATTAAGTATATTCACATTGTTACACAACCATCACCACCATCTACCACCAAAAGAACTTTTTCATCTTCCCAAACTGTAACTCTGCCCCCGTTAACAATAACTCTATGAATTTGACTATTTTAGGTACTTCAGATAGGTGGAATCATACAATATTTGCTCTTCTGTATTATTTTTAAATAAAAACTCTTTTGATGAGATAGGTCAGAGAAAATCCATTTTATTGCCCTAGTTTTTAGTACATTTTATTCAAACAAGAACCCAGCAATAGTTAACTTGCTGCAATGTCTACTGAGACGTCTAAACCAAAACATGTCTTGCTGATGCCAGCTTTTGCCCTCTTCACAAATCCTGCTTAGGAAAGGTTCATGACACTGCCACAGTAGGCCTGACCCTGCCAGGGAAAGGCATCACCGCGGTTCTGGGTAGCTCTGGTGTGCGCGAAGAAAAGAGACAAGCAGGGTGAGAGTGAAGTCTAAATGGATCAACAAGTTTGCCTGATACCTTGGAGTCAGGAAGCACGGGAAGAAAGAGTTGAGTGGAATAGCTTAGTGAGGTCTGAGGCCTGCCTGATCCAGAGGAGACACTGACAAACACAGACGCTGCAGAAGAGGAAGCCGTCCCAGGTTAGGAGGCATCCCAGTGCTTCCCTCCTCAGTGAGTCATTTCATCTGTTTCTCTGCCTGCAAGGAAGAAATAAACATAACTCATAAAATGAAGCATTTCACCTCGCCGGGGGAGTGGCATTGAAGTGAGAGGCATGCATCTGTGGGTGTCAGAGCAAGAGTCCTCTGTAGCTGCTTGTCCTTGACCTGGAAGGAAGGGTCTGGTGGGGTGACAAAGTGACATCTGCTCCTTAGAGGGAGCCTGTTCTTGGAGACCCCTCTGCCAGATACATTTTTATAGTCAGCTCCAGAAGTGACTTGATGTGGGGATTGAGACATATTCCTGCAGTCAAAGACTCATACATAGAAAGGGACATAATTTTTTTTTCTTTCTCTCTCTTATGAGCAAAGACTGAATAAGGCTTATGTGGACTCTATCACTGCATCGTGATGACTGGAGTAAGGTGCCCTCCGTCCATCATCGTCAGCTTTCTATTCTGTGTCTGACTGCAGTGGAACATCGGCGTGATCAACTCTACATTATTTAACTTTGATCCGGGCGTGCATTGTTTGATCTTTTCCTTTGCAGATTGACTTTCATAATTTATATTTTATAGAATACACAGAAATGTATTCTGGCATATTCTAAGAGCATAACGGCTGACAGCATAGACACATCCTAAGACAATACTAAGGGTTTACAAATTAGCTGTGGATGGTCTTTTCCAAGATAATTGTGAGTTGATTTGTGCTAACCTGGATCAGAAATATTTATCAAGCACTCACTGTTTACAAAACTATAAAAGCATTAAGTAACAGTGTAAGTAGCAGATAGCAATAAAAGATGTCCCAAGGCAGTGAGATATTAATTGTGTAAGAGAAAATGTTATTAAATGTTATTTTCTGGGATTTGAGGAGGGGGAGCCTGTCATTAAATGTCATTAATTAAAGACTGAGTAGGAAGCAATTGCTCTCCGTAGATGTCTCTACACAGGAAACGGATACTGTTTGGTGTTCCCTGCTGTCTTGGCAGAGTCAGAGGGAGGTAGCTTTCTGGGTCAATAATGCCGTTTAAGATGAACGCCCATGCTGACACACTCTGGTAGCTCTCAGAGTCCTTCCTTCAGTGTAGAAGTTAAAGGTCAGCAGCTTACAGATTGCAATTTGCATTGTGGAAGCAACCTTAGGAAGAGCCACACGTCTTTTATCTTGATTCTGTGGTCAAGATGGTAACCACATTTGGGATTCTCTCTTTCTTTGGGATTCTCTCTTTCTTTGGGAATGAGTACCAAGCTCCTCATACTGAGGTATCAGTGTAGACATTTAAATGTGGTTGAAAGACGTGAATTAAAAGTTAAAATAGAAGGAGAAGCTTTATTTCGATGTGGCCTGTGAAAAGCAGACTTTCACTGCTCGTTAATGGTGCACGGAATTCTCATGGACGTTGAGAATGTCACATGTACACGCACATGCACACGTGTCGACACCTGCGCAGACACACATGTGCACCCTCTCCCTGCAGCCTGGCCCCTTTTGCTGCCACCTGTATTCATTTTCCCACCACCCCGAGGGATATGATGTGCTGTTTGGAAAGTAACAGATATCCTTAAGGAGTGAAATGGTCCCCTGTAATCAAGATGGAGAGCTAAAAACAGGTTTCAATCAGAACTAAACCAAATAAAATCCCGTGGTGAAAATTTAGTTCCCCTTAAAGCTTGTGATTAGGACCACCCCGTGTGTTTTCGGCCACTGCTTTTAGACGGTGACAGTGACACATACACGTAACGAAGATAATGAGGCCTTTCCACTAGCACTGTAGGGTTTTCAAACATGTTAGATGGATATTTGGAGGTTTTCTCAGGAAGAATCATGTATCTTTCACAGTATCGCAAGAGAAGAAATAAATTCCTAAGAGTCTAACACGCAGATGTAAGCCATAGTCCTTTAAAAATAAGGCTCTTGGCCAGGTGCGGTGGCTCACGCCTGTAATCCTAGCACTTTGGGAGGCTGAGGTGGATGGATCACAAGGTCAGGAGTTTGAGACCAGCCTAGTCAATATGGTGAAACCCTGTCTCTACTAAAAAAATAGAAAAATTAGCTGGGCATGGTGGCGTCCACCTGTAATCCCAGCTACTCAGGAGGCTGAGGCGGGAGAATCGCTTGAACCCGGAAGGCGGAGGTTGCAGTGAGCCGAGATTGCACCACTGCACTCCAGCCTGGGTGACAGAACAAGACTCCATCTCAAAAATAAATAAATAAATAACAAAAGTAAGGCTCTTGATTCAGAATTATGCAGTGAGGCTCAAGTTTCAGGAGAACATCTTCTAATAGTGGACTGCAGGGAGGGGCTCTGAGGGCAGCCTCGAGTTAGGAAGTGGTCCTGAAGGGGAGAGTGGAGGGAGGGAGATGGAACTGAGGCCTGACATGCTGCACAGAAGCCACCTCAGCCGAATGGATCAGCATCCCAACCGTGGCTCCTCCTCCTACTAGCTGATTTCCCTTGGGGAAGGAGCTCAACCTCTCTGACCCTCAGTTCCCTCTTTGGTGAAAGGGTTGAATTGTCTTGGAATCCACAGGTGACCACCTCAGGACTGCAGTGAGGGATCTGTATGCATCCAGTAAAGCCTGTCCTTAGCTCTGTCTTGTGGCTGCCCACCTGGCCTGGGGGCCAGAGATGGGGCTGGAGAAGGGGCAGGCTTCCTCCGGGAGCTCATCCCCACACCCAGTGGAGTTAGCGTAGCCAAGGCTTCCAGCAGAGTTTTACATCCAGAGTCATCTTTGTTATAGGTAGCAGCAAGAAGCAGTCTCTCCTGGGAAGACTTGCTTTGAAGTGTGGGGAGTCGCACTGACTTGTAGGAAAGGCCACTGCCTTGAGATGAAATTCCAAAGCCAAGAGGAAAAGTGCTGTTGAGGAGGTGGGATGGGAGGTCAACTCCTCAAGTCCCTCAAGGAATTCAGTGGAAGCCACTCCTGAGAACCGGCTGGAGGTGGGAAGCCTGAAGAATGAGGGAGTTCACGGTAGGGGCCTGAGGTGCGTGAGGCTTGTTTGTGTTGGTCTGAGCAGGGCTGAAGCCGTGGGCCCAGGGCCTCTTTCCTTCAGAAACAGTCGGAAGTGACCAAGCTTCAGCTCCTCCTCCTCCCCAGGCCTCGGCACCCAGGCCCGGTGCTGCGGGGCTCACGTATGGGAACTGAGAAAGGGAATATGGAGTCTTCCTTCTAGGCCCCACAGAGGCCTCTTTGACCTCAAGACTTGGCTAGAAACACATTTTGGAAGCTTCCGCATTTCCAAGTCACAGATAATATTTCTACACACACACAGACACACGCTCTTATTTTAGAGAAGGGACAGAACATTTGTCTCTGGCTGACTACAAGTTTCTTTATCTACCTTCCTTTCAAATCTCCTGAGGACAGAGACTAAGCAAAGTTTACCTTTTGTAATCCCCCAAGTCTGTCTGGTGCTCAGGTTATTCAGTAAACTTCAGTAACTGAGGTCAGATGGTAGAAGGAAGGGGAAAAAAACGGGAATCAGAGGCCTGTGTTTCCAGCTCAACTTCCCTACTTGACGGCTGAGTGGCTTTGGACCAATCATCGGACTCCTCTCCTCGCCTCTGTTTTCTCATCTGTGAAGTGGAAACAATAGCCAACCAGTCTACATAACTTAATGTTGTTTCCAATGTGCCTTCTATGAGGAAGGAGAGGTTATCAGCAGCAAAGGGATAGACACATCTGAGGGCATCCCTTATGCTGTTAATGACTGTTTAATTGTCATAGAATATGGATCACTGCCATTCTTTGCTTGACATAAAAACAACTCAGAGACACACTGTCACCGTTTCAGAGAGCTTCAGAAAGAATTTGGATTGGAGTGCTTCTTTCATAGCCAGATCTCATGTAGTAGGTCATTATTTTGTTTCTTTGATTAATAGGACAATTCGGTTACAACCGAAGGTACTGTAACCCTGCAACCCTAGAGAGGATTTGCAGGGCTGAGGAAGAGTAAATTCCTATTAGCAAGTATCTTGGTGGCAAGCAAGATGGCACCTTGGTAAGAAGTTATCCATCCAACTCAGCACTCCAAAGACCTGCATACCAGTGTATGCGGGAAAAACCATAGCCGGTCTAACAGGGAGGCGCCTTCTCGCTCAGAATCATCTACAATGGATATGATTGTAATTGTTGAAGAAGCTACAGCTGCTTCTACTGAGAGCAAGCCTCGCTCTTCTGTTTTTCAGAATTATAAAAATGGAGCTAAACAGAGATAATGGAAGTTGCTTTTGGAGCACTATCTTGCAGACTGTCTTTGCACAAGATATTGACAGGAAATGTCTGCACGTTTCTTAGAGCCTCCTGAATCTTCAGCATCTACTTTTTTTTTTTTTTTTGCCTGACATATACCAAGCACCCAACACATGGTTGTTCATACGAATGAATGAACAAATGAACTAGTAGACTAAAAAAGAGGCAGCTCTTGATCCCCAAACATTGTGGAGCCAAAACACTATCCTTTGACAGTGATGAGGATGGGAGAAAAGACTGTCATATCTTAAGAATTAAACAAAATAGGCCAGGCGCGGTGGCTCACGCCTGTAATCCCAGCACTTTGGGAGGCTGAGGTGGGCGGATCACCTGAGGTCGGGAGTTCGAGATCAGCCTGGCTACCATGGAGAAACCCCGTCTCTAGTAAAAATACAAAAAAAAAAAAAAAAAGTTAGCCAGGCACAGGGGCGCATGCCTGTAATCCCAGCTACTCTGGAGGCTGAGGTAGGAGAATCTCTTGAACCCGGAAGGCGGAGGTTGCAGTGAGCTGAGATCACGCCATTGCACTCCAGCCTGGGCAACAAGAGCGAAACTCTGTCTCAAAAAAAAAAAAAAAAAAAGAATCAAACAAAATAGAAAAGCAATGAAATGTTTTAAAGAAATGACTCTTACTTAAAAGACTTAAGAAAATTTACGTAGATACACGTGAGCAGTAGAAAGTAAGAATAGCTCAGATTTATTTCACAAACATGTTTTGAGCATCTTTGTGTGCCAGCCATTGTATTGACCTTGGTATACAGTGGTGAGCAAACCAGCCTTAGACCTAGAGACCTGGGGCTTTTGTGTAGTGGGGGAAAATGACTTACTATTAAATGCATGATATGAACCGAAGTGGAGATACTGAGGGAAAAGATTGAGGCTCTGTAAAAGCATCCAGCAGAGGAAGCATAGGCTGGAAGAAGGCTTCTCGGAGGAAGTGAGGCTTGAGCTTACATCTGCAGGAAAAGTGGGAGCATTCCATATGGAGAGCAAAGGCCCCACGGCAGAAGGAGCAGGAGGTGTGTTTGAGGACCTTGCCCGAGGCTGGAGCCCTGGAGTGTGAAACTGAGGGGGAGGTAAATTAGCAGTTCCTGTAGCCAAATCCTGGTCTGTTATTTCTGAAAGTCTGTCATCTCTGAAGAGGATACTGGGCATAAATACAAATGAGAACATGATCTTTTAGGTGGTGAGAGTCTATAGAGCAGGCATTTGGAGGGATGCCCTCTCCCCATTGTGGAACTAGCAGAACAAAATCTAAAGAATGCACAAAAGAAACCAAAAAATGAGCTGTTAGGTTCTAAGGAGGGAGGGAGTGTGATGGAAAGCACACCATGAGAAATAAGGACATGGACCTGCCCCCGCCCCATCATGACACTGGCTGTGTCTGAAAAATGGAGCAGGAAAGGCAGCGTGACTAGGAAAATGTGCAGTTTTAATTTTACATAATATTTGTTTTTTTTTAGAAAATATTTTCTAAGATAAAAAATGCTAACATTTGTGAATAGTGGTAGTGGATACATGTGTATGTTTTATTATTGGATTTTTTTCTATATATCACATTTTTTTAATTAGAAGGGGAAGACTTTTTTTTTTCTTAAATTAGAAGAGGGGCAGTTAAAGGAAGGAGGTAGGTGCTAGGAATGGTTTAAGAGTCAGGGTCCTATTCCTAGATACAAATTGGCTTGGGCAAATTGCTTCTCTGGTCTTCAGGTGTCTTATCTAAGGAGAAGAGTTTTGAAGATGATGATGTTGGAAATCCCTTCTAGCTCTAGAACGTTCTGTGATCCTGATTTTTAAAAACAATTGATGATTGAATAGTTCTATTTATAGGCTTGGGAATTTGGTGTCTCATGCTCACTAATCCCTGATTCTTTAAAATTAGGAGAAACAATCTTGCTTGGCACAAGATAGCCAATAGCTTTCTAGTCAGGAAGCTCGTGCATTGAAATTCATTTGCCCAGAGACATTTTCAAAAGCTGTGAACCCACAGGTCGCTGACATCCCTTCTGGACCAGATGTGGGAATCTGGACCCACCCAGAAAGCTGTGCCTCTGTGTCAGGCATCCTGCCATTCACCACACGCGTTCCAGCGGCTGCTCTCTGGCTTTGCAGGGCACCTGCAGGACAGTTTGTGCATAAGGAATCCCTTCCCTCCAAATTTTAGATGAGAAATATGGTAATGAAAGGAAATAACCCAGGCAGAGTGGCTTGTTTCACATGTCACGGTGTGTCAAAATCAGATGTATGTCTTAGATTCTTGGGGGAAAAAAAAAGTTGTCGCATGAATTTGGGGGTTTTGTTTTGTCTTTGGACATGGTCCGGGAGGCATGATGCGCGCCCTGGAGCTTCATCGATGCTGTTGAGTGGGGATGACGGTGTGCATCGCCACATCCTCAGCTTTCCAGTTGTTTCAGCTGCGCCCTCCAAGCTGCCCTGTTCCGCGGGGACAATAGCAGCCAGTGGACGGGAGCCCGCACCACACAGCAGCAAAGGAAGCCGGAGGAGAGGCTCTGCGGGCTCTCTGCTCCGTCAGCAGGAATGTCCTCCGGGCCAGCAGCTGCCTTTGCAGCCACCTCTCCAGTTTCTGTCACTTGGGTCAAGTTTCCTTATAATGCGTTAAATGAATGAGAATAAGAAAGTGTGTGTTGGCAGAATTTCCGTTGAATAATGCCAAGGCTTTCCAAGTAAGAGCATGAATTTAAGCGGAGCAAAGTTCCCAGTCAATGGGATTCAGAGTAATGGCTATTCTGCTAATAATGAAAAGTAGAAATGTTTTTACTTTTAAAGGTTCACAAATGGGCTACTCTTAGGGCTCGCTGGCCTATTCAGTTACAAAGTGGAAACTGTTCCGGATCTTTGCTTTATTGCACTTGTATTTAGTAGGTGATTGGAAACATTTTCCACTTAGCATTTAAGGGTTTGAATAGACTGGTGACTTTTTTTCAACTAAAGTTTCCTCTTTTTTAAAAAACTGACATTTTTCTTTTTTTGCAAGTAGACTGAAGATTTCAAGTAACAGGTTTTCCAAATACTTAGACTCTGCCTGCATAATTATTATATTTGCCGTGGGGATTAGCACTTTTCAAAAGTGTATTTCTACACAACATCCTTGTTTTGCCCCAAAGTTTGATTCTTCACAGCTTATTACGTAGATTTAGGCAAAATGGACCGAGCTCCATCCACTAGAACTTCCATTATAAAGGCAATCATTTCGAATGAAACAGAAGCCATTTATCTTAATGAACCAGCAGGAAAATGAAGTCTGTTGAAATGATCTGAACCCTTCAAAAAATATTGGTAATTCATTGTGGCTATATTTATTTTTATTAGTTTCTCTATGTTGCCTGTTTTATTGACTTTCCACAGCAAACCACCACCCCCACCAGCACCACCAAATACCGTTGTATTTTGATTCCTTATGTTCTTTATTAGCAGGCTTACTTCTCTCTTCATAGAACTATGCCTTTGCCCCACTGCTCCATTTCAGAGCATTCGGGGCTATTCCTGGTAAGAAGCCAGCATTAGTTAATGTTACTGTTCTGGTCTTGGGCTGCAAAGAGTGCATGGATAATGGTTCATGTTTTCCCCTCCAAATGGAGGGAAGACACAGACATAATTGAAACTTACAATGTCGGGGGATAATTTTATACCATTATTTTTAATGAAAACGGGGAAGTATCCTAGCTAAAATGCTGGAAAATAGCCTTCCAGTAGCCCTAAGCATCCACGTGTAACTGAATGCAGGTGGGATAGAAACCTGTTCCCTCTTGCCTCCCTCCCCCAAATAGAGAGATGCTGTCAGTGGTCAGGAAAAGCAGTGAGCCACAGGTAATGAGCTCCGTATCCATTTTCTTTGTCAGATCTCCCAGCTGATGACAGAGAGTAGCCGGGAGGGACTAACAGAAGCAGTGCTGAACCGCTACAATGCAGACAAGCCTTCCGCCTGCAGTGTCCCAGCCTCGCAGGGCTCCTGCGTGGCCAGCGAGACTTCCACAGGCACATCGGTGGCCGCCTCCTTCTTTGCACGGTAAGAGAGCTGTTCAGATCCTTGGTTCTTTCCGATGAGCCCAGCTGGTTAGCCCCTCACGTGGACTAGCTCAGCTGAAACACTAGAAAGAGTTTGGGGCCGTTCTGTGATGTCATTCATTAAGACAGAGTTTCTCAGCCATGGCACTGTGACCTCTCGGGCCAGCTAACTGTGGTGGGGACTGTCCTGTGTGTTATAGGGTGGGCTGCAGCATCCTTGGCCTGTACCCCTCGATGTGTGCCCGCAGTACCCTCCTCCAGTCGTGACTACCAAAAATGTCTGCAGACATTGTGAGAGGCCCCAGGGTCGAGAGTCGCTGCTCTCTTGATGTGTAGCTCCAAAGATGCTCTTTTGCAGCATCAGGACTTTGTAGAGGCATCCCTCTGGTGGGTGTTTCCAGATTTATCTTCTCATTACAGAAATTGAACTGCTTAAAAGCTATTAAATAGATGGCAGGTTTTCTCCCCCGCTTCTTGACAGATTAGCCAGAGTGTTATCAAATACTCTCCAGCTAATCTTGGGAACTTCAAAAATACAAGAAACAAAAAAGAAAGGTATTTCAACAATGTTTTCTGCCTAATTTTAGCAACATGGCAGAGACGGGGCGGGAGACGAAGGACAGCTGAGCAGGAAAGGACTTCAGGGATTGTCTGGTTCCATCTCCTTATTTATGAATGAGGAAACCGAGGACCAGGAAGGTTCAACTAGGAGTGAGTTTATAGCACAGCCAGAAATAGAAACCGGATTGCTCTACATTTTTCTGTATAACTCATGTTTTAATTTAATGCTCAGAACTGAACCTTGGAAAACTTTCTCTGTCTAAGATTTGCAAGCTCCTGAGTAAACAGGACATAGAATAAATGCGATAGCATCAGATACGAAATCACAAGACCTTTTGGGTTCCAGTTGCAGCAGTTCTGCCTCAGTTTCTTCATGTATAAAATGAGGATGATACCTGCTCTGCAGGGTCGCTCCGAAGACTAACATAAGATGATGAGAAATTATAAAGTACTGTAGAAATGGTTACTACTATGTCAGTAAGAAGGAATATTGTGTGGCTTTGCTTGTTATCTTTATGAATGGTAACATCCAGAACACAAATATGGGGAAGGGGCTCTGATTAGGACAGCGGCAAGGCAGAGGAGGACAGAGGGCTAAGACCCTGGATGATGGGACCCTAAAGGCAGCACACAGGGCTTGTTGGAAGACCGGCTTTGAGGGTCTTCATTGTATTTTGGTGCTGTGTTTATTGTCGTATGAACACTTGGGACAACTTGAATGTGTGGGAAGTAATAGGAAATATGTATAGGCTGGCCACCCAACAATGGGGACCATTGTGTTAGCCCTGTCTGGACATGAATCTCTGTGTTGTCCCAGACCATTAAGCAGGGAGTCCAAGCTCACTGGGAGGTCATGTCCATGCCATTTAGGGAGAGAATAAAGACAGGGAACAGTTATGAGGAAATGTCACAAGCACAGAAGCTCCTAGGAGGTTATTAGAACATGTTCAAAGGAGGCTGACTAAGAAGCCATGGCATGGCAGGTTCAGTTTGGAGAAGAGAAGGACTCTGGGGTACATCATGGATGCCCTCAGCTATCTCTCAGGCTATTGTATAAATGGAGACTTGGTTCGTTCTGTAGAGCAACCAGTTATGTAGGCAAAGGCTAAATAACGAGGGAGGAGACGGACCTCCCAGCTCAGAATGAAGAACTTGCAATTCCGATGGCTTCAGGAGAGAGTGAGATTTGTGTCCCTAAGGGAGATCAAAGTTATGTTGAGTAATTACCTGGCCTCGATCCTAGAGGGAACATTCAATGCTCAGATGGGAATTGACTTCCGACGTGCCTTTCTAACCTGAAATTCTTTGAAAGTGGAGTCTTCCGTTCAGTTCCAGCCAGAGAATTTTACAGAAGGTTGACTGACTCACAAGGCAACCCAGAAGATTTGAAGCAGGAAGAAATAAGAAGTGAGGGTTCCCAATTGGCAGAATTTAAGGAGAACATGAGTTCTCCTTAAATTCTTGGTGCGAGGAAACCAGCAGCGTCTTTGGAGCTGGGGAAAGGATGTGGAAATGAGGGGGGCCTGGGAACCTCATAGTACTGGACAAGGTGTGCCTGAGGCCAGAGGTCAGGATATCAGAGGAGGATTTACGAACAAGCAAACACACAGCAGGGAAAGGAATAACAAATCACTAGCGAAAGCCTAGGGTGGAAGGGAGATACTGAGGCAAAACCCAAAATGTATGGGCCAGTGATGTCAACTGGGGCAGGCTCTGCAGGTGATGCTAGCAGCAAACAAAGACTTGAAACTCATGACTTCAGAACGACAAGGGCTTGCAGTATGAGCTTTCAAAGAGCTGGAAAGGATCCCTAAGGCTCCCCAAATCTTTACTATTACTTTCTGTGCAGTGAACGCTGATAGTACTTGGAGCTTCATGGTATAAGCATTAAAAGTATGTGGTTTGTATTCAAAGGGTTTACAATGTACAGTGGGAAACAAGTACCATGTGAAAAAGAACAATTCTTTCTATAGATTTCCCCCCCACCCTTTACTCATTACCATATTTTGCCATGTTATTCTCATCATTATTGATGAGAACTATTATTAGCTGGGCTTTCCCACCTCCCAGCGAGGGAGGCAGCATATTAATAACCCCCCTGTCACTGAGGGGCACCCAAAGCAGAAGTGTGACTGACTGGCTCCAGGCTCATCCTGTCAAGAGGCAGAACCAGGGATGTACCTGACAGTTAGGTCCCCAAACGTCCATGTGATAAGCCAAAACCTGCCCAGCTTATGCTGTCAGACAGTCAACTGAGTTCAAAGAGCCTTTTGGTTTTAGCTGAAGCAAAGCTGTGTAAGGGGATGGTAATGACAGCTTTTGATAAGTGTCTGTCCTCATAGGGGTTTGGGGCAGAGTCAGCTCCTACACCTCCAATCTGTGCTCACCACTTTCCACTCTTCCTGCTTGACTGCAATGGAGAGAGAGTCCTCTGAGTCTGCGGGGCCCTGGAACTCTCCTATAGCTCCAAGTCAAGACACAGGGGTGGCCTGCTTTCAGGAAGCTGTCCTGGGCTGGGCATGGTGGCTCACGCCTGTAATCCCAGTACTTTGGGAGACCAAGGTGGGTGGATCACTAGAGACCAGGAGTTCAAGACCAGCCTGGCCAACATGGTGAGACCCCGTCTCTACTAAAAATACAAAAATTAGCTGGGCATGGTGGTGCATGTCTATAATCCCAGCTACTTGGGAGGCTAAGACATGAGAATCACTTGAATTAGGAAGGTGGGGTTTCGGTGAGCCGAGATGGCGCCACTGCACTCCAGCCTGGGTGACAGAGTTGGACTCAGTCTCAAAAAAAAAAAAAAAAAAGGAAAGAAAGAAAGAAAGAAGCAACAGCTATGCTGGGGGCCATTTCGTTTTATATGGGAGGGATGGCATTTGCTAAATTTGTGGCCAATGTGGCTGACGTATATTGAGCACTGAGTGGGCATCACTCACTATTAACTACCTCTTCATATGCAAACCCCCTTCATCTTCACAGTAACCCTGTGAGGCAGAGCCTACCATTTTCTCTGTTTTATGGATAAAGAAGATGGTTCCCTGAGTTACTGACCCAGAGCCACATAGCCGGGAGTGGCGGAGTGGGAAATCCATCCTCGTTTCCTCTCACTTGAGACCCCAGGTTCCTATTCTCTGTGCTAAACAGACACAGGAAGACACTTTATTATAGGGTTTTTTTTTTTTCACCGTAATCATGAACTGATGATTGCTTATAAAACAGGTGTGAAACTACTAGGCCCTGTAATTTGTTTGAGAAGGTGAGTAGAATGACAATAACAAAAACAACAGAAAAACCCCCAATTTGTTGAAGATTTGAAGCAGGAAGAGATAAGAGGTGACACATTTGTTGTTGCTCTTGAGGATTCCTACCTTTACACGGTGTTTTCCTGTTGACGAAAAATATGTCTATCCTGGGTCTGGAATTTTCTGGATAAATGTTGGTGTTCATCTCCATATAGCGTCGCTCTCATTCATGCAGATGTCCACTTTTCTCTGTGATATTAACCTTTATTTAAAATGTATTTATTTTTATTTTAAAATCTTTTTTTTGAGACAGAATCTCACTCTATTACCCAGGCTGGAGTGTAGTGACGTAATCACAGCTCACTGCAGCCTCAGCCTCCCGGGCTCAAGCGATCCTCCCACTTCAGCCTCCTGAGTAGCTGGGACCACAGGAATGCACCACTGTGCCCAGCTAATTTATTTTTATTTTTTGAAGAGATGAGTCTCCCTATGTTTGTTGCGCACGCTGGTCTTGAACACCTAGGCTCAAGCAATCCTTCCACCTTGGCCTCCCATAGTGCTGGGATTATAGTCATGAGCCACTGCACCTGGCCTAAAATTTATTCATTTATTTATTTTTGAGATGGAGTCCCACTCACTCTGTTTCCCAGGCTGGAGTGCAGTGGCGCGATCTCCGCTCGCTGCAACCTCTGCCTCCCAGGTTCAAGTGATTCTGCCTCAGCCTCCCGAGTAAGATTACAGGTGTGCACCACCACATCAGCTAATTTTTGTATTTTTAGTAGAGATGGGGTTTCATCATGTTGCCCAGGCTGGTCTTGAACTCCTGACCTCAAGTGATCCACCTGCCTTGGCCCCCCAAAGTGCTGAGTATTGTTTTGATTGACTAATAAACATTGTATATATTTACGGAGTAAAATATGTTTTGAAATATGTACATATTGTGGAATTAGCCTGTGTTTTTAAATGCTTACTTTCTAGAACTGTGGGTGGAGGTCTGGGTGAACCTTGTTACATTTCAAATTCAATGCCTATAAAATAAGAATTTCAATTTTGAATAAGCAGTGTGTGGTCTGTGCTGGTCCACACACGGTTACTGGTCTGTGATAAGTATAGAAATGGAGAGGAAGCGTTTAGAAACATCTGCTGATGGAATAATTTTCTGTCTGTTGAATCTAAGAATAAAAAATCGGGGCTTGCATTTTGTGTATAACTAGAAGTAAAAGAAAAATTGGTCCTTCACCCGGATAGTTTGAGATGCACTGCTATAGAGAACGATGGAGCATGAAGCACCTGTTCTGTGCTTTTCTTCCTCTCACGATTGTCTTTAAATGGTCAGCATCTTAGTAGCTGTCTTTGCTTCAGAATTTCAGTACCTTCCCTTTTTTTTTCGAGAAAAGACACTGTTTCTGGAAAAAATAGTAACAGTCACCCAGAAAAGAGATCGAGACAACTGATCGTCAAGTTGGTTAACTATTATGTGCTGGCTTTGAACATCAAGAACATTTCAAACGAGGGCCTTTTTTTTTTTTTTGCATGATTTTCACATTAATAGAAAATGGTGAAGTAGGGTATCATTAGATTTTCCCATTTGCTGACAGTTCACTTTGAATAAAGGTGGACTTAATGATGTACTTTACCTTATAAAGTATGGAGTACATGAAACCCAATAAAAACTCTTGGGTGAAACCCTAGCTTTGTAGGTTGAGGCAGTGGAACCTTCATGTATATTTGAAGAGCAGTTAGTGGATTCTGGATTATGCATAGAATTGAACCCTGAAACAGAAAATGAATCTTTTGGGTGACCTCATATCTTTGCATTGATTTTCTTTCCCAAATAACCATTAAAACTCATGGGTTTTGTTTTTGTTTTTTTTGAGATGGAGTCTCGCTCTGTCGCCCAGGCTGGAGTGCAGTGGTGCAATCTCGGCTCACTGCAAGCTCCACCTCCCAGGTTCAAGCGATTTTCCTGGCTCAGCCTCCCGAGTAGCTGGGACTACAGGCGTCCAACACCACACCCGGCTAATTTTTGTATTTTTAGTAGAGACGGGGTTTCACCGTGTTGGCCAAGATGGTCTCGATCTCCTGACCTCATGATCCTCCCGCCTCCGCCTCTCAAAGTGCTGGGATTACAGGCGTGAGCCATGGCGCCCAGCTGTGTTTTTTTATTCATGGAGAAAATTAGCTTCTGTAGAATTTTCATCTACATTCAGAGCAAGAGTTTGAAAAATGGTGAAAATGGACAAAGATCACATGAGCACAAAGACACTGTCAAGTTTTGGCAGAGCTGGTATCGCCAGTTCCATGGCGTTGGTGAGCACAGAGACTTCCAGTTCTGCCCTCAGACATCACTTCTAAATTGTCATATTTTTGGTGTTCAGCTTTTATGTTTAGTTGACAGCCTTTCTACCAAATTCTAATCAGATTTCCAAGTAAAATTATATTAAGGGCATTTTTTATTTTCCGTGATTTTATTTAAATTTTCCTGTTTTCTTAATATAAACAAATACCTTTCCATTCTGTTATCTCAGGTTCTGATGACTTCAGATCAGAACTTACTATCTTCAAATCCTTTATTCTGTTTTTTTGCTCATTATTGACTCTGTTACATTAGTTAGAGCTTCTTTCTCTCTCTCCCCCTTCCTCTCTCTCCCTCCCTCCTCCCTCCCTTCTTTCCTCCCTTCCTGTTTTTCCATCTGCTCTTGAAGATTCCTACCTTTACACAGTGTTTTCCTGTTGACGAAAAATATGTCTCTCCTGGGTCTGGAATTTTCTGGATAAATGTTGGTGTTCATCTCCATACAGCGTCACTCTCATTCCTTTCTCTGGGATCCCTGTTGTCTGCTTTCTCTTCCACACTTGCCAAGCTGTCCCTCACTTTCTCCCACTGACTCCTCTAACTCCTTGCCGTCGGCCCAAACACATTCCTTTCTCAGGACGTGATTGTTTTTCTGTCCATCTCAATCTCTTGTGTGGTATCTTCCATCGTTGTTTTTGA